>NT_187361.1:0-175055 GCF_000001405.40 Homo sapiens | reverse complement strand
GAATTCTATGTGACTGACAAACATTCAGACTCCAGCAGCAGTGTTCTGTAATCCTATGTGAGCGACAAACATTCAGACCCCAAGAGCAGTGTTCTGAAATCCTATGTTAAGGGAAATATTGAGACCCCAGCATGAATGTTCTGGAATCCTATGTGAGGGACAAACATTCAGACCATGGCAGGAGTATTCTGGAATCCTATGTGAGGAACAAACATTCAGACCACAGCAGAAGTGTTCTGGAATCCTATATGAGGGATAAGCATTCAGACCCTCATAGCAGTGTTCTGGAATCCTATGTGAGGGAGAAGCATTCAGAGCACAGCAGGAGTGCTCTGGAATCCTATGTTAGGGACAAACATTCAGAACCTCGTAACATTGTTCGGGAATCCTGTGTGAGGGACAGACATTTAGACACTCGCAGCAGTGTTCTGGAATCCCATGTGAGGGTCAAACTTTCAGATCCTCACAGCAGTGTTCTGGAATTCTATGTGAGTGACAGCCATTCAGACTCCAGCAACAGTGTTCTGTATTCCTATGTGAAGGACAAACATTCAGAATCCAGGAGCAGTGTTTTGAAATCATATGTTAAGGGCAAACATACAGACCCTAGCATCAATGTTCTAGAATCATATGTGAGGGACAGACATACAGACCCTCGCAGCAGTGTTCTGGAATCCTAGATGGGGGACAAACATTCAGACCCCAGCAGCAGGCTTCTGGAATCCTATGTGGGGGACAAACATTCAGACAATGGCAGCAGTGTTCTGGAATCCTATGTGAGGGACAAACACTCAGAGCCTTGTAGCAGTGTTCTGGAATCCTATGTGAGCGAGAGTGTCTGGAGCCTACCCAACCTGACGCCCCCAAAGCCTTCACAGGGTCTGACCTCCCAGCATGCACCTGCCTCTCCCTGAACCCCAACTGCCCACCCTGCCTTTTCCCTGGCCTCCTCCATCCTGTGCAGCCCATAGACTGTGACCATCTCTCCAGTCACTCTGGCCCTTCCTTTACCTTTGTCCTGTCAGGATCTCTGAGCAGGATCTCCCAGGTCCATCCAAATACGTGCTTTGTCCACTTTTGACTAGGCCCTTGGGCATCACTGGGCTATCCCAGCTGTCCACAAGGCCTTCAATAATGCACATTGCACCTGGCTTATCCAAGCAGTGCTCAGCAGCCCACATTGACCAGGTCCCTGCTGACCAGACCCCGCACATCAGGTCCTCCCTGATGAAACCCTCACTGATTAGAACCTCATGACCAGGCCCCACTAACAAGGGCCCCACTGCCAGGCACACAATGACAAGGACTCCACTGACCAGGACCTTACTGACAAGGCCTCACTGACAAGGCCTCACGGACCAAGTCCTTACTGACAAGTCCTCACTGACTATGTCATTATTGACAAGGCCTCACTGATCAGGTTCCACTGATCATGACCTCATTCCCTGGCCCCAAAGATGAGGCCCCACTGACCAGACCTCCAGGGAACAGGTTGCCACTGATCAGGCCCCTAATAACCAGGCCTAAGATCACCAGATGCCCCTGACTGGGACCCTAGTGAGTAGACCCCACTGAACTGGCACCAAATGCTGAGATCCCCGCTGACCAGGTCACCCTGTAGACTAGTACTGCAAAAGTCACCACTGACCAAGTCCTCTCTGACCAGGACGCTACAGATTAGGTCCCGCTGACAAGGCTGCCCTGACCAGGGCCCCACTGACAAGGACCTCACTGATGAGGACACGCCCACCAGGGTCTGCTGACTAGGTCCCATGTGCCCAGTCCTCCACTGAATAGCACCCCTTGACCTGGTCACCAGTGCCCCAGCCCATGCTGACCAGGCCAGCACTAAGCCCCAGCTGACCAGGTCTCCACTGATCAAGCCCCACAGCCCAGGTTTGCACTGACCAGACACCAAACAACTGGCAGCCAATAGGTCCCCACTCACCAAAACCCCACTACTAGACCCCACTAATGAGACCCTCTCTAAGCAGACCCCTGCTGACCACGATCCCACTAAATAGTCCTCACTGACCTAGGTCCACTGACCAGGCCCACACTGATCAGGTCCCTCCTAACCACACCGGAAATCCAAGCGGCAATGACATGTTTCATATGGCAGAAGTTGGAACAAGACAGAGAGAGGAAAGAGGTTCCACAGCCTTTTAAACTACTAGATCTCATGAGAACTCACTCACTATCAGGAGGATGGCATTAAGGGCTTGGTGCTTTGCCATTTGTGAAGGATCCACTCCCACTCCTTTATGATTAAAGCTTTTTCCACCTAGGCCCCGACTCTAACATTAGGGAGTGTACTTTCACATGAGTTTTGGAAGGGGCATAGAGAAAAACCGTATTATTCTGTCCCTGACCCCACAAATCTCATGTCCTTCTCACATTGCAAGATACAGTCATGCCTTGCCAGCAGTCTCCCAAAGTCTTAACTCATTTCAGCATTAACTCAAAGTTACAAAGTCCAAAGTCTCATCTGGGTCAAGGCTACATTCTCTTTTGCCTACGAGTCTCTGAAATAAAAAGCAAGTTCACTGTGTCTAAGGTACAATGATGGTACAGGCATTGTGTAAGCTTTCCATATCCAAAAGGGAGACATTTTCCAGAAAGCTTCTTATTTTTATCTGAGGCCCCCTCAGCCTGGCCTTCACTGTCCATGTTTTTGTCAGCATTCTTGTCACAGCCATTTAACCAGTCTCTAAGATGGTCCAAAAATGTTCTCATCTGTCGGTCTTCTTTGGAGCCCTCCAAACTCTTCCAACCTCTACTCATTACCCAGTTCCGAAGTTGCTTCCACATTTTCAGGTATCTTTATAGCAATGCTCCAGTCCTCATTTGCCATTTTTGGTAAGATTTATTTTGAAAAAGAAGTTTAATTGGCTCATGGTTCTGCAGAATGGACAGGAAGCTTAGTGCTTCTGCTTCTGGGGGGCCTCAGAAATCTTTCAATCATTGTGCAAGGTAATGAAAGAGTGAATTGTCTCACATGGCAAGAGGAAATCACGGAGAGTACGGAGTGATATAGAGTTTTCAGTGGCCAGATCTCACGAGAAGTCACTCATGATTGTGAGGACAGTACCAAGGGGATGGTGCTGAACCACTCATGAGAAATTTGCCTTCATGATTCAGTCACCTTATACCAGGATCCACCTCCAACATTAGGAAGCATAACTCAACATGAGATTTGGTGGGGACACATATTCGAATTGCCTCATCAGTCTTTGAGTATAAAGACATCCATAGCAGGCTTTATCCAGCCAGCTTCTTTGGGATTCTTTATAGGGTTTCTGGTCTATAGCATATCCACTAAAATATTCCTACTCCTACTTCAAAAGGCAATAAAGTAAGTGGTATTATCATTCTTCAAAAAGTTATAATGGTAGTGTAGGCATTCATAGTATGATTTAGTTCATTTGCTACTGTTTCTATTCTATCACCATATTAACACTTTCCTACACAATTCTATATTCAGCTGGGTTTCAGTTGAGCACAAAGTCATCCTTATACTACCACTGATAGCTGGCACCAGCTCTTTGATACTGTTATCATTCTGCTGTAGAAAGTACCCGTGAACTGGAAAAAGTCCACAATCGAATAGCTAGTCATTCAACACTATCAAATTTTAGGTGACTTTTTGAAAAAATCGTATCTCTTGTTGCAAGAAATGTTCCATCTGTGATTTCAAGTCTCGCTTGAGTGGATTGGATGGAAGTGGTGAATTTCAGCCAAAGTGGCCAAAGAAATCCTGTTCCTGTGATAATGATGCCATCAGCCTCTGTACCTTTGTCTTCTCTTCTGCCACATGTTGCCTGTTCTTCGTGACTTTGGTAAGAGCTTCCTTGTGTATGAGGATGATGTCCAGGATGTTGGTCTGGTGTCCCTGAGACAGCACTAACAGGTCCATGGCTGGGTCCAGGTCCTTCCTGGACGGATTGGCAAGGAGCTCACTGATGTTCTTGAAGGCATCTCTGGTGAAGTGGATGGCCTAGTCAAGTTCCAAGGCCTGGCTGAGGCCGAAGAAAAACTGGCCGCCTTCTGAAGCTCTTTCTAAAAGTCTGTCACTGTCATCTGCTTGCATGTCAACTCATTGGCTGTGAGATTGAGCTGAGTGGCCTGTGTCCATCTACTTGGGGAAGTATTTGAAGCCATCAATCTTGCTCTCCCACCCCTAAAGGTTGATGGTCACCACCTGCGGGTGTGCTGAGGGTCAGAAAGAAGCCAGCACTCACCATCTCATCCTTCTCAGCCTTCCTCTTGCACTCTCTCCAGGCTGTCTCTTCAGTGGTGGTGGGATATATCAGAAAGTGATGGAAGATGTGGCACTGTGCCCACACCCAGAAGCTGGCCATGTGGTTGGCTCATCCACCAGAATGGATGCTCTGGGTGCTCTTTGAGCCAGCTTGGCCTTGCCTGGCATGTACAGGCCCCAGGTACAGACACGTTGCTCCAAGTGAACTTGTCCTGCCTTGGGCCAAATTCTGTCAGGCCAGGGTCACAAAAGGCCAAGTTCCACGGGTGGTAATCCTGGCTGCTTTCTGCACTTCAACATAAAGGCCTCCTGAAGATGGCCTGTGGTCTGCCTCTTTGCAACCAAGAAGCCCGCAGTGCCATATGAGCCCTGAGGCATGGACTGGAGCCCCCAAGGCAGCGCACACGCTGCTCCTGAGCCTGCTGATCATTTTCTCTGTGTGGCTCCATTTGTGTCACAGTTGTTGCACTGACTAGTGCATACTGAGGAAGGCCAGGCTGGCTCAAAAAGCAACCGGCCACCTCTGCAAGGATGTGCCTGGAGCTGGTGGACCAGCCACCAACCTGACTTGCTGCCGGTCGGGTTACATCAGTTCTTCTACCCTACAGATAGGGCCACAGTGCTATCTGCTTTTCCTTAGGCCTCTGCTCCATCAGCCATCAGGAGGCAGCCCCTCAGGCTGTAGGAATCTGGCCATCCCTGCTTCCTTGAGTGGGTGAGGTTGGTGGTTTCTCCACCTGCTCCAGGCACACCCTTGCAGAGGTGGCTGCTTGCTCTTTGATCTAGCTTGGCCTTGCCTGGCATGCACAGGCCCCAGCTACCTATATGCGGTTCCAAGTCAGCTTGTAGTGTGTTGGGCCAAATTCTACCTCTGGCCAGGGCCACAGAAGGCCGAGTCCCCTGGGTGCTAATCCTGGCTGCTTTCTGCACTTGAACATAAAGTCCTCCTCAAGACCGTCTGTTGTCTGCCTCTTGGCGACCAAGAAGCCTACAGTGCCATACGAGCCCTGAGGCATGGACTGGAGCCACAAAGGCAGTGCACGCCCGATTCCTGAGCCTGCTGATCATTTCCTCTTTATGGCTCCATTTGTTGTACACTTGTTGCAGTGAGGCTTGTGCATGCCAGGCAAGGCCAAGCTGGCTCAAAGAGCAAGCAGCCACCTCTGCAAGGTGTGCCAGGAGCAGGTGGACCAGCCGCCAACCTCACTCACTGTCAGACGTGGTACATCAGTTCTTCTACCCTAAAGGTGGGGCCGAGAAGTAGACCACACGCCGTCTTGAGGAGGACTTTATGTTCAAGTGCAGAAAGCAGGCAGGATTACCACCCAGGGGACTCAGCCTTCTGTGGCCCACAGTGCCATATGAACCCCGAGGCATGGACTGGTGCCATCTGCTTTATACAAAAATTAACTTAAGATAGATTAAAGAGTTAAACATGCCACCTGCTTTTCCTCAGGCCTCTGCTCCATCAGCCATCAGTAGGCAGCCACTCAGGCTGTGGAAACCTGGCCATCCTGGCTTCCTTCAGTGGGTGAGGTTGGTGGCTGGTCCACCTGCTCCAGGCACACCCTTGCAGAGGTGGCTGGTTGCTCTTTGAGCCAGCTTGGCCTTGACTGGCATGCACAGGCCCCAGGTACTGACACGTTGCTCTGAGTGAGCTTGTCCTGCCTTGGGCCAAACTCTGTCAGGCCAGGGTCACAAAAGGCCGAGTCCCACGGGTGGTAATCCTGGCTGCTTTCTGCACTTCAAAATAAAGGCCTCCTGAAGATGGCCTGTGGTCTGCCTCTTTGCACCCAAGAAGCCCGCAGTGCCATATGAGCCCTGAGGCATGGACTGGAGCCCCCAAGGCAGCGCACACCCTGCTCCTGAGCCTGCTGCTCATTTTCTCTGTATGGCTCCATTTGTGTCACAGTTGTTGCACTGACTTGTGCATGCTGGGCAAAGCCAAGCTGGCTCAAAAAGGAACCAGCCACGTTTGCAAGGGTGTGCCTGGAGTGATTGGACTAGCCATCAACGTCACCCACTCAAGGAAGCAAGGAATGCGTGTTTGTACCATGCATTTCACTACAGGTACATTTCCCCTGAGGTTGTTGGCCTAGGTTTCTTCTAGATTTTTTATTGTTTTAGGTCTTGCATTTAACTCTTTCATCCATATTACTTAATTTTTGTTTAAGTTGTATGGGTGTGGCCCAGTTTCAGTTTTCTGCGTAAGGCTAGGCAGTTTTCCCAAGATCATTTATTAAATAGGGTATCCTTTACCCATTGCTTGTTTTTGTCAGGTTTGTCAAAGATCAGATGGTTTTAGATGTGTGGTGTCATTTCTGAGGCCTCTGTTCTGTTCCATTGGTCTATAGATCTGATTTGGTACCAGCCCCATGCTGTTTTGGTTACTGTAGCCTTGTAGAATAATTTGAAGTCAGGTACTGTGATGCCTCTAGCTTTGTTGTTTTTGCTTAGGATTGTCTTGGCTATGTGGGCTCTTTTATGGTTCCATATGAAATTTAAAGTAGTTTTTCTAATTCTATGAAGAAAGTCAATGGTAGCTTAATGAGGATAGCAATGAATCTATAAATTACTTTGGGTGGTATAGCACTCAGGCACATAAATGTCCTTGTGTTAGGCAATACCATTCAGGACAGAGCCATAGGCAGAGACTTCATCACCAGCACACAAAAAACAATGGCAACAAAAGCCAAAATTGACAAATGGGATCTAACTAAACTAAACAGTATCTGCAGTGCAAAAGAAACTATTATCAGAGTGAACAGGCAACCCAGAGAATGGGAGAAAATTGTTGCAATCTATCCATCTGACAAAGGGCTAATATGCAGAATCTACGAAGAACAAACTTACAAGAAAAAAAAAACAAACAACCCCCTCAAAAAGTGGACAAAGGATATGAACAGACACTTACCAAAGAAGACATTTATACAGCCAACGAACATGTGAAGCAAAGCACATCATCACTGGTCATTAGAGAAATGGAAATCAAAACCACAATGAGATACAATCTCACAGCACTTAGAATGGCTATCGTTAAAAAATCAGGGAACAACAGATGCTGGACAGGATGTGGAGAAATAGGAACGCTTTTACACAGTTGGTGGGAATATAAATTAGTTCAACCATTGTGGAAGACAGTGTGACAATTCCTCAAGGATCTACAACTAGAAATATCATTTGATCCAGCAATCCCATTACTGGGTAAATACCCCCAAAATTATAAATCATTCTAATATAAAGACACATGCACCTGTCTGTTTATGGCGGCACTTTTCACAAAACCAAAGACTTGGAACAAACCCAAATGCCCACCAATGATAGACTGGATAAAGAAAATGTGGCATATATACACCATGGAATACTATGTAGCCATAAAAAGGATGAATCCACGTCCTTTGCTGGGACATGAATGAAGCTGGAAAGCATCATTCTCAGCAAACTAACACAAGAACAGAAAGCCAAACACCACATGTTCTCACTCATAACTTGGAGTTGAACAATGGGAACACATGGACACAGGAAGGGGAACATCACACACCAGGGCCTGTCAGCGTGGGGGGCTAGGAGAGGGATGGCATTAGGAGAAATAACTAATGTAGATCATGGGTTGATGGATGCAGCAAGCCGCCATGGCATGTGTATACCTATGTAACAAACCTGCATGTTCTGCACATGTACCCCAGAACTTAAAGTATAATTTTTAAAAAAAGAAATTTGCTTTTAATTAAGCTTTTAATCATAGAACCTGTAAAGAAACCCCTTTTGAATCTTTTACTACCACATCATAGCTGGGACAAACTGCTGACGTTTTAAAAGTAACACAAATATCAAACAGAAAGAACTAGATTTAGGAACAAAACTCAGGTTCCTGTAGTGAACAGGGCAGAATCTTCACATTGGGTCACCACCACTACTCCTTCAGTTTGGCCTTGGCTAGCAAAAGGATGACCTTTTTATGTAGATGAGACTAGTTACGTAACAAAAAAGGTTTAAAAAATAATTTCTGCTAACTGGAATGCTTTTTGTTGTTGTTTATTTGTTTGTTTTTTTGCAGCCATAGGAGTTTTAGCCAATTCAGAGGCCTTGCTCCCCACAATTTGGAACATTCCTTTGGATTTGACCAAGTCAGGAAGAGATGGGAGAAAAGTGAAACAACAACAATAAAACCCCAAGCATAAACAAACAAAAAGAGTTAAGCAAAACAACAACTGCACAATTCATATGATTACTGAGTGTTCTAATGGTAAGGAGAGTGGTGAAGCCATGCGTGGTGATGTAGAGTACTTCCACATCCCTGGTGAGAAGCTGCCCCTTGGGTCTGAGTTTCTGGGAGGGGAGAGGGAGAAGCTGGGTGAGGCAGGCATGAATCTTGAGGAGTCAGGGCTGGGGGACCGCTCATATTCTCCCGAGACCTGTGAGTCTCTGGGGGACTCCTGGGTGCATGGGGCTGGCTCCCGCAGGAACCTGGGGATGGCTGAAGAGTAACTGGGAGCCACAGGAGAGTCCCTGAGGCCTGGGGGTGAAGAGATGAAAGACACAGGGGTGGAGCACCGTGAGGCTCGTGAGTTTGTAGGTGATTCCTGGGTGTGGGGGGCTGACTCCAGCTGAAATCTGGGGTTGTTTGGAGAGTAGCTGGGAGACACAGGAGACCCCCCGAGAGCTGGGGGTGAGCTGCTGGGTGATGGCAGTAAGAGCATGTGGTATATTATTGATGAACGTGGGGACTCTGAGGAATCCTCAGAGGAGGACACGGGAGAGCCCAATGGCTTCATTGATTGCCCATCACGGTGAGGACAGGGAAATGGGAGCTTGTGGGATTCTGGTGATGACAGAGGTGAGTGTGGTGAAGCCCTAGGGGATGGTGAATGGTAGCTCCGGATCCCTGGTGAGGAGCTTCCCCTTAAGCCTGAGTTTCTGAGAGGGGAGAGGGAGAAGCTGGGTGAGGCTCGCATGGACCTTGGGGAGTCCCAGCTGGGGGACCGTTCATAAGAAGAGCCAGACAAGACCCTACTGTTCTTAGGTGCAGACATGATTAGGAAACCTGCAGCTCCCAGGGGCCCGTACCAATTTTCTAACTCGCAGAAGGAAGGAGTGTGTGTGTGCGCGTGTGTGTGTGTGTGTGTTTGTGTGTGCGGTGTGTGTTTGTGTGTGTGCGGTGTGAGGTATGTGCCCCTTAAGAAAATGGAAATCAACCAACCAATGAGACAGACAGACAGACAGACAGACAGAGATTCACTTGCCCAAGTGTTCTGTCCTGTCCTCTGAATCCGCTTCCAAGTCGCAAGACGCTGTGAGCTCCAAGTCCACGCAGAGTCCGCCAAACGCTCCGGCCGCTGATCCGCTCCGCGAAGATCTGAGTACAGGCCAGCCAGGGTGGGTTTAAATAGCCTCGGGCGCAGCCTAGCAGCGGAAAGGGAGGAGCTTCACTCCTCCTTTCCATCAGTCACCCCCAACTTTTCCAGGCTACACCTGGTAGGAAACTGTTCTCCTGCTTTGATTTCATGCGCCACCTTTGGGACAATCTAATAACTTACAAATTTCCTTGGCCAGATATATTAGGAATTGTATGCACTGAAACACTGAAAACCAACTAGTGGTTCTGTGGTTCCCACGTTGTGGTTTTGACACCAGCAGCATCCTTGCCACAATCAAACCCCGGAGATGCACAGATCTGTGTTGTAACAAGACCTCCCCCTGACCCTGATTCATGGCAGTTTAAGAAGTCTTTCCGTGTAAACGAAAAGACTTTGAAGAAAAGGTGGAGATATGCGTTGTATAAACATTCTTTTGCTCTGGAACCACGTAGAGACTTGGGAGCCAGTTGGGTGGAGCATTCGTTGGATGAGGGTGCTCGGGTTAGGAATATCAAGGTGTGGCTCCAGATAATCCAATCATGTAATTAAGATTCCAGTTATGCTCATCTGTTTTAAAATTCCGTTTGGGTAAATTCTTTTAGTCAGACTGAGAATGGCAAAGCCTCAACCCCAATTTCCAGGGAGGGTTGAGAGCCTCGGGTGGAGCTGATCACCAATAGCCTATGGTTTAACCCATCATGCCTATAGAAGGAGGTCTCCATAAAAACCCAAAAGGACTGGGTTCAGAGGGCTTCTGGATAACACTTCCTGGAAGGTAGTGCGCCCCTCCCCACATGCCGGGCCCCACATTTATTTCTGAACTTTTTGCAATGTCCGCTAAAATACAATGGCAAATGTAAGTGTTTACCTGCGTGCTGTGAGCTCTTCTAGCAAATGAATGCAACTAAATCTGGGAGTGGTGGCAACCTGATTTATAGCCAGTTGCTGAGAAGCACAGGTAAAACAACGTAGGGCTTCCCATTGTTATTAGTGTGGGAGGCCTGTCTGGCGGGACTCGGCCCTTTGGAATCTAACGCTATGTCCCGGTAGATAGCGTCACCATTGAATTAGAAGACACACATATGTTGAGAATAATCTCTCTGGTCTTTTGCTGCATGACTTATTTACAATACATAATCAAATATTTTATCCTGACCTTATGGCACCTGGGTTGAGAACCCATGATTTGAACCAAACATTGGTCTGTCACTTTCTGAGTTTGAAACTTTATTTTGCCTTTAGCGTTTTGTTATTGCTTTTTCGTTTTCTTTTGTTTCGTTTCGTTTCTAAGTTCGGGGTATATGTGCAGGATGTGCAGATTTGTTACTAAGGTAAACGTGTGCCATGGTGGTTTGCTGCACCTGTCAACCCATCACCTAGGTATTAAGCCCAGCATGCAGTAGCTGTTTTTCTTAACGCTCTGCCTCCCGAAAGGCCCCAGTGTGTGTTGTTCCCCTTCCTGTGTCCATGTGATCTCATTTTTCAGCTCCCATTATAAGTGAGAATGTGGCGTTTGGTTTTCTTTCCCTGGATTAGTTTGCTGAGGATAATGACCTCACATCACCAGTGTTTTTGTTTTTTAGTATAAAGAGTAGTATTTTATTGAATAAGATTTGCTCACAGAAAAATAAGCTTAAATCTACAATGAATGCCAGACTCTACAGCAGAAAGCAATTTCCTCACTTTTCCACACACAATGGTTCCTACTAAGCGAAAAAAAGCCATAAAATTTTATTCACAAATGTACTACTCTGTCTCAAAGCATCTCACATAATCATGCACTGTACTAAAGCCTTTAGATCAGTTCTTCAGTCAGGTTAAAGAAGTATTGATTGATGGGCAATCAATGAAGACATTAGGCTCTCCCGTGTCCTCCTCTGCGGATTCCTCAGATCCCCCACGTTCATCAATAATATACCACATGCTCTTACTGCCATCATCCAGCAGCTCACCCCCAGCTCTCGGGGGGTCTCCTGTGTCTCCCAGCTACTCTCCAAACAACCCCAGATTTCAGCTGGAGTCAGCCCCCCACACCCAGGAATCACTTACAAACTCACGAGCCTCATGGTGCTCCACCCCTGTGTCTTTCATCTCTTCACCCCCAGGCCTCAGGGACTCTCCTGTGGCTCCCAGTTACTCTCCAGCCATCCCCAGGTTCCTGCGGGAGCCAGCCCCATGCACCCAGGAGTCCCCCAGAGACTCACAGGTCTCAGGAGAATATGAGCGGTGACTCATATTCTGACTCCTCAAGATTCATGCCTGCCTCACCCAGCTTCTCCCTCTCCCCTCCCAGAAACTCAGACCCAAGGGGCAGCTCCTCACCAGGGATGTGGAAGTACTCTACATCACCCCGCAGGGCTTCACCACTCTCACATCCATCATCAACAGAATTCCACAGCTTTACGTTTCCCTTTCCTAACCAAGCAGGACAGTCACTCATGTCATTGTGTTCTCCCGTGTCCTCCTCTGGAGATTCTTCACAGTCACCTCATTCATCAATAATATACCATATGTTCTTACTGCCATCATCCAGCAGCTCACCCCCAGCCACCCATGACTCTCCTGTCTGTCCCAGCTATTCTCCAACTACGCCCAGATTTCGGCGGGAGTCTCTACCCCACACCCCAGAAACACCTACAAACTCACAGACCTCAGTGAGATCCTCGCCAGTCTCTCTCACGTCTTCACCCCCAGCCCTTACGGACCCTCCAGTCTGTCCCAGCTACTCTCCAACCACGCCCACATTTCAGCGCGGGTCAGTTCCAGGAACCCAGGGATCACCACCAAGCCCACCACTTTCACTGAGTTACTCCCCAGTCTCTAGCACGTCTTTATCTCCAACCCTCAGGGAGTCGCCTGTCTGTCCCAGCTACTCTCCAAACACGCCCACACTTCAGCGGGAGTCCGTTGCAGGCACCCAGAAATCACCACCAAACTCACCAATTTCACTGCATTACTCCCCAGTCTCTCTCATGTCTTCACCATCCCTCAGGGACCCTCCCTTCTGTCCCAGCTACTCTCCAACCACGCCCACATTTCAGCTAGAGTCAGTTCCAGGCACCCCGGAATCACCACCAAACTCACCAATTTCACTCAGTTACTCTTCAGTCTCTAGCACGTCTTTATCTCCAACCCTCAGGGACTCTCCTGTGTGTCCCAGCTACTCTGCAACCACGCCCACACTTCAGCGGGAGTCCGTTCCAGGCACCCAGGAATCACCACCAAACTCACCAATTTCACTCAATTACTCTCCAGTCTCTCTCATGTCTTCACCAGCCCTCAGGGACTCTCCTGTCTGTCCCAGCTACTCTCCAACCATGCCCACATTTCAGCTGCAGTCAGTTCCAGGCACCCCGGAGTCACCTACAAACTCAGCAGTTTCACTGAGTTCCTCCCCAGTCTCTCTCATGTCTTCACCCCCAGCCCCCTGGGACTCTCCTGTCTGTCCCAGCTCCTCTCCCACCACGCCCAGATTTCAGCGGGAGTCAGCCTCTCACACTCCGGAATCACCTACAGACTCACAGACTTCACTGAGGTCCTCCCTGGTCTCTCTCAGGTCTTTGCCCTCAGCCCACAGGGACTCTTGTGTCTCTTTCAGCTACTGTCAAAACTTCTCTAGATTCCAGCTGGAGTCAGTTCCAGGCACCCACGATACACCACCGAACTCACGAATTTCACTGACTTACTCCCTAGTCTCCCTCATGTTCTCACCCCCAGCCCTCAGGGACTCTTCTGTCTCTCTCAGCTACTCTCCAACCATCTCCAGATTTCACCTGGAGTCAGCTTCCCGCACCCAGGAATCACCTACAAACTCACGGACCTTACTGCAACCCTCCCCCCATTTCTTTCACCTCTTCACCCCCTGCCTTCAGGGACTCTCCTGGGTCTCCCAGCTTCTCTCCAGCCTTCCCCAGATTTCTACCACAGTCAGCCCCAGGCACCCAGGACAACCCTAGACACTCACAGGCCTCACGAGACTATCTCCCTATGACCTGTACCTATACAGGGATGGCTCCCACGCATCCCTCAGTGACCCCAAACCCATCTCCACTTACACTCAGACACTCCCAGGGCCTGACAGCTACTCCCCGTTATTGTCCTTCAGTTCGAAGCCCTGGCCAATCTACTAGCCCACATGACGCAGTTACCTGGCCATTTCTCCACATTTCCGGTGAGGGCCCCACAACCAGCCGCACAAGAGCCCCTCCTGCATTCCTTCCTCACACGCAGGCCTGTCCATCTACTTGCTACTGTCACACTCTTGCCAGCAGAAGAGTCCCCTGTAATGGCCGATATCACCACCCAGTCTATCCTCACCCCACAGCTGTGCAGCAGGACCCTCCTGCTGGCCCACGTGGCTGCCAGAGCCCATGCTGGCACGACGCTCCAGCAGGTCGGCGTCCCTGCGGGCCACACTACCGGTGACATGGCTAGCATGACCCTCCTTCCTGGCAGTGACACTGTTGATGTGAACCCCGGTTTCACATCTGTCATTTGTAAATAGGACCATTTTCCCTTTTCGCTCTCCCTTCCATTCACAGGGCTTTTCATTCTCTCTGTTTCTGCCTCCGTTTCAGATATTTACTCACCTTTTTCTCTCTCACTATGTCTGCCGTGGTCTCCATTAGAGTGCGCCACATAAGATACCCCCATTAAAAGTCATGAATTGAGTGGCTTTTAGTATACCTGTGGTTGTGCACATTCAATTTTAATTCACAATCCATTGTAGAACGTCTTATCACCCCAGACCAGAGAAAAACCCTGTAGACATTAGTCACTCCTCATTCTGTCTCAAACCCTCAGGGCCTGATGGGAAGGCACTTTCGTCTGTGGGGGACCCATGCCCTGCTTCTCCGTGGCGCGGTTTTTTTTTCCTGCCATAGATCCCTCACCTGTCCTTCCTCAAATCTCACCTTCCCCTCTTGGGCCTTCTGTCTGCCTTGGGGTACACCTAGCGGCCCAAGGTGCACTGTGGGCTCGAACCAGGGACTCCAGTGTCCCTGAGGCCCAGCGCAAGGCCTGATGGAAAGACACTTTCGTCCGTGTGGAAGACCCAGTCCCCGCTTCTCCGCGGCAGGTTTTTTTTTTTCTCTGCCCCATGTGCCTCACCTTCCCCTCTTGTGCCTTCTGCACGCTTTGGGGTACACCTAGCGACCCGAGGCACACCCTGGGCTCGAACCATGGAAGCCAGATTCCACTGGGCCAAGCTCAGTGGCTGATGGGAAGACACGTTCTTCCTCGGGGACCCAGGCTCTGCTTCTCTGTGGCGTTTTTTTTTTTTTTTCCCCAGTCCCTCACTTTCCCGTCATGGGCTTTCTGCCCGCCTTGAGGTACCCCTAGCCGACCCGAGGCACACCGTTGTTTTGAGGCAGGGATGCTAGGGTCTCCGGGGCCCAGTGCAGGGCTGATGGGTAGGGACGTTCGTCCATGGGGGACCCAGTCCCCACTTCTGGGCGGCGCAGTTTTTTATTTTATTCTCTGCCCCAGGTGTCTCACCTTTCCCTCATGGGCCTTCTGTCTGTCTTGGGGTACCCCTAGCAGGCCGAGGCGCACGCTGGGCTCGAGCCAGGGATACCAGGGTCCCCGGGGCACAGTGCAAGCGCTGATGGGAAGACAGTTTCTTCTGTGGGGGACCCAGGCCCCGCTTATCCGCGGCACGGTTGTTGTTTTTTTCTCTGCCCCACGTGCATCACCTTCCCCTCATGGGCCTTCTGCTTGCTTTTGGGTATCCCTAGCGGCCTGAAGCACACCCTGGTCTCGAACCAGGAATGCCAGGGTCCCCTGGGCCCAGCGCAAGTGCTGATGGGAAGACACTTTCGTCCGTTGGGGACCCAGGCTCTGCTTCTTCGTGGTGCAGTTTTTTTTTCTGCCACAGGTGCCTCACCTCTCCTTCCTCAAACCTCAACTGCCCCTCATGGGATTTCTGCCCGCCTTGTGTTACCCCTAGCAGGCCCGAGGCGCACCCGGGGCTCGAACCGGGGTCTCCAGCGTCCACAGGGCCCAGCGCAGGGACTGATGGGAAGGCATTTTCACTCTTGGGGGACCCAGGCCCAGCTTCTCCTAGGCGCGGCTTGTTTTCTTTTTTTTTTTCTGCCACAGGTTCCTCACCTCTCCTCCCTCAAACGTCAACTTCCCATCATGGGCTTTCTGTTCGACTTGGGGTACCCCTAGCGGCCCAAGGCGCTCCCTGGACTCGAACCATGGATGCCAGGGTCGCCGGGGCCTAGCGCAGGCGCTGATGGGAAGGTACCTTCATCCGTGGGTACCCAGGCCCCGCTTCTCAAAGCTGCGGTTTTTTTCTCCGCCCCAGGTGCCTCACCTTCCCCTCATTGGCCTTCTGCCTGCTTTGGGGTACCACGAGCAGGCCCGAGGCGCTGCCGGGTCTCCAATCAGGGTCGCCAGGTTCTCGGGGCTAGCGCAGGGGCTGACAGGAAGGCACTTTCATCAGTGGGGACCCAGGCCCGGCTTCTCCGAGGTACTGATATATATATATATATATATATATATATATATATATATATATATATATATTTTTTTTTTTTTTTTCTGCCACAAGTGACTCACCTCTCCTCCCTTAAATCTCGCCTTCCCCTCGTGGGCTTTCTGGCTTCCTTAGGGTACCCTAGCATGCCGGAGTCTCTTCTGGTCCTTGAACTAGGGTCGCCAGAGTCCAGGGGGCCCAGGGCAGGGGCTGATGAGAAGGCACTTTCGTCCGTGGGAGAACCAGGCCCCGCTTCTCTTCCGCACGGTTTTTTTTTTTTTTTCTGCCGCAGGTGCCTCACCTCTCTTACCTCAAACCTCACCTTTACCTCATGGGCCTTCTGCCCGCTTTGGGGTACACCTAGCGGGCCCGAGGTGCACCCAGGCCTAGAACCAGGGTCGCCTGGGTCCACGGGGCCCAGCTCAGGGACTGATGGGAAGGCACTTTTTTTCCATGGGAGACCCAGGCCCCACTTCTCCGTGGCGCGGTTTCTTTTTCTTTTCTGCCACAAGTGTCTCACCTCTCCTCCCTCACAGCTCACCTTCCTCTCATGGGCTTTCCACCGCGTTGGGGTACCACTAGTGGCCCGAGGCTCTCCCTGAGCTTGAACCAGGGACTCTAGGTTCCCCGGGGCCCAGTGCAGGGGCTGATGGGAAGGCACTTTCATCCGTGGGGTACCCAAGCCCCACCTCTCCGTGGCGCGGGTTTCTTTTTTTTCTTTTTCTGTGACAGGTGCCTCACCTCTCCTCCCTCAAAACTCACCTTCCCCTCACGGGCTTTGTGTCCCCAAAGCCCCCCTTGGGGTGCACTTAGCGGCCGAGGCACACCCTGAGCTCAAACGAGGGACACTAGTGTCCCTGGGTCCCAGTGCAGGGACTGATGGGAAGACACTTTCGTCTGTGGGGCACCCAGGCCGTGCTTCTCCGCGGCGAAGTTTTTCTTTTTTTCTCTGCCCCAGGTGCCTCACCTTCCCCTTAGGGGCTTTCTGCCCACCTTGGGGTACCCCTACTGTCCCGAGGCGTACCCCAGGGTCAAACCAGGGACGCCAGGGTCCCCAGGGCCCAGCGAAGGGGCTGATGGGATGGCACTTTCATCCGTGGGGGACCCAGGCACTGCTTCTCGGCTGAGCGTTTTTTTTTTTCTCTGCCTCAGGTGCCTCACCTTCCCCTCATGGACCTTTTGTTCGCTTTGTGGTACCCCAAGCTGTCCCGAGGCGCACCCTGGGCTTGAACCAGGGTCGCCAGGGTCCACCAGGCCCAGCATAGGGCCTGATGGGAAGGCACTTTCATCCGTGGGGGACCTAGGCCCCGCTTCTCTGAGACGCGGTCCTCTTTTTTTTTTTTTCTGCCCCTGGTGCCTCATCTCTCCTCCCACAAACTTCAACTTCCACTCACGGGCCTTCTGTCCAAGTTGGGGTACCCCTAGTCGCCTGAGGCACACCCTGGGCGTGAACCAGGGATGCCCGGGTCCCTGGGGCCCAGCGCAAGGGCTGATGGGAAAAAACTTTCGTCCCTGGATGACCCAGACACCGCTTCGCGGCGCATTTTTTTTTCTTCTTTGCCCCAGGTGTCTCACCTTCCCCTCATGGGCCTTCTGCCTCTCTGCGCCTGCGCCAGCGCTGTGGGCCTCTCTGCGCCTGCGCCGGCGCTGTGGGCCTCTCTGCGCCTTTCGCCAGCGCTGTGGGCCTCTCTGCTCCTGCGCCGGCGCTGTGCGCCTTTGCGAGGGCGGAGCTGTGTTCTTCCCAGCACAGACAAGGAGAGCATCGCCAGGGCGGAGCTGAGTTCTCCTCTGCACAGACTTCAGAGATACAGCGAAGGCGGAGCAGTGTTCTCCTCAGCACAGACCCAGGCGGGCCGGGGGCACCGCAAGGGCGGAGCTGCGTTCTGCTCAGCACAGACCCGGGGGACACCGCTAAGGCAGAGCAGCATTCTCCTCAGCACAGACCTTTGGGGCACTGCCTCGCTTTGGGAAAACTTGGGACCGCATAGACGGTGAATAAAATCCTTCCCTTTTGCAGCCCTGAATAATCAGGGTCAGAGACCAGTTAGAAGGGCTCAGTGTGGAAAAGGGAAACCAAAAGCCCCTCTGAATCCTGCCAACGGAGGTTCTCCCCAGCCAAGCCAAGGCAGCCACAGTGCGAGATCCACACCGCAGCCTCAGAAGACAAATGCAGCATTCCTAATGCAGACATGACACCCAAAATATGACACCCCCATTGCTCATGTAACAAGCAACTGTAATGCTAATGCACTGCCTCAATACAAAAATATTAATATAAGATCCGAAATCCCCTTGCTGCCATGCAGTCCTAAGACAGAGATCATAATAATCAACATTGACATAGTACAAACGTAGTAACGAACCTAGGGTTAAGGTTGGTGTTAGGGTTAGGGGTTAGGGGTTAAGTTTAGGGTTAGGGGTTGGAGATAGGGGTTGAGGTCAGAGTTAAGAGTTAAGAGTCAACCTTTAGAGTTAGAGGTTAAGAGAGGTTAGGGGTTAGGGATAAGGGGTTAGGGTTGGATTAGTGTGAGGGTGAGGGTTGTGGTTAGGGGTTAGGCTTAGGGGTTATGGTTAAGGGTTAGGGTTAGGGGTTAGGGTTAGGGTCAGGGGTTAGTGGTCAGGGTCAGGGGTTAGGGATCAGGGTCAGGGGTCAGGGTCAGGTTCAGGGGTCCCACTCTTTGAGTTGTCCATTTACTCTGCTGACTGTTCCCTTTGCCATGCAAAAGCTGTTTAGTTTAATTAAGTCCCAGCTATTTATCTTTGTTTTTATTGCATTTGCGTTTGGGTTCTTGGTCTTGAAATCCTTGCGTATGTCAATGTCTAGAAGGGTTTATCCAGTGTTATCTTCTAGAATTTTTATAGTTCAGGAATTAGATTTAAGTTCTTAATCCATCTTGAGTAGATTTTTGTATAAGATGAGAGATGAGAATCCAGTTTTATTCCCCTACATGTGGCTCGCCAATTATCCCAACATCATGTGTTGAAAAGGGGGTCCTTTCCCCACTTTATGTTTTTGTTTACTTTGTCGAAGATCAGTTGGCTGTAAGTATTTGGGTTAATTTCTGGGTTCTCTCTTCTGTTCCATTGGTCTATGTTCCTATTTTTAAACCAGTACGTTGGTGTTTTGGTAACTATGGCCTTATTGTACAGTTTGAAATCAAGTAGTGTGATACCTCCAGGTTCTTTTTGCTTAGGCTTGGTTTGGTTACATGGCTCTTTTTTGGTTCCATATTAATTTTAGAATTGTTTTTGTAATTCTGTGAAGAATGATGGTGGCATTCAGATGGGGATTGCTTTGAATTTGTAGATTGCCTTTAACAGAATGGTAATTTTCACAATACTGGTTCTACCCATCCACGAGCATGGGGATGCGTTTCCATTTGTTTGTGTCATCTATGACTTCTTTTCTTTCTTGTTTTTTTTTTTTTTTCAGAGGGAGTTTCGCTCTTGTCGCTGAGGTGGGAGTGCAATGGTGTGATCTCGGCTCACTACAACTTCTGCCTCCCGGGTTCAAGCGATTCTCCTGCCTCAGCTTCCCGAGTAGCTCGGATTATAGGCGTGTGCCACCGTGCTTGGCTCCATCTATGATTTCTTTCAGTAGTGTTTTGTAATTTTCATTGTAGCTGTCCTTTGATTCCTTTGCTAGGTATATTCCTAAGTTTTGTTTTTTTGTTGTTGTTGTTTGTCGCAGCTATTGTAAAAGGGGTTGAGTTCTTGATGTGATTCTCTTCTTGGTAGCTGTTGATGTATGGAAGAGCTACGGATTTGTGTCTATTAATCTTGTATCTGGAAACTTTGCTGAATTCTTTTATCGGTTCTAGGAAGTTTCTAGAGGAGTCCGTAGGGTTTTCTAGGCAAAAGATTATATCATCAGCAACAAGTGACAGTTTGACATCCTCTTTACCGATTTGGATTTCCTCTATTTCCTTCTTTTTTCTGATTGCTCTGGCTAGGACTTCCAGTACTATGTTGAAGAGGAGTGGTGAGAGTAGTCTCCTTGTCTTGTTCCAGTTCTCAAAGTGAATGCTTTCACCGTTTCCCCATTCAGTATTATGTTGGTTGTGGGTTTGTCATAGATGGCTTTTATTACATTAAGGTATGTCCCTTGTATGCCTATTTTGCTGAGAGCTTTAATCATAAAGCAATGCTAGATTTTGTCAAATGTTTTTTTCTGTACCTGTTGATATAATCATATTAGATTTTTTAAATTCTGTTTATTTAGTGTATCACACTTATTGACTTGCATATGTGAAACCACTCCTATATCATTGGTATAAAACCCACTTGATCATGGTGGATTATTTTTTGATATGTTGTCGGATTCAGTTAGATAGTATTTTGTTAAGGATTTTGGCATCTAAGTTCATCAAGGATATCGGTCTGTAGTTTTCTTTTTTGGTTATGTCCTTCCATGGTTTTGGTATTAGGGTGATGCTGGCTTCATAGAATGAATAAGGAGGGTTTCTTCTTTCTCTGTCTTGTGGAATAGTATGAAAAGATTGGTATCATTTCTTCCTTGAATGAAAGAAGACATTCTTTGAATGTCTGGTAGAATTCTGCTGTGAATCTGTCTGGCCCTCAGCTTTTTTTGCTGGTAATTTTAAAATTACCATTTCAATCTTGCTGCTTGCTTTATTGGTCTGCTTGGGGTATCTAATTCTTCCTGATTTAAGCTAGGAGAGTTGTATTTTTCCAGGAATTTATCCAACTCTTCTAGGTTTTGTAGTTTATGTGCCAAAAGGTATTCATAGTACCCTTGAATAATCTTTAATATTTCAGTGGTGTCAGTTGTAATATCCCCTGTTTCATTTCTTAGTGAGGTTATTTGGATTTTCTCTCTTCTTTTCTTGGTTAATCTTGCTAATGGTCTATCAATTTTATTTATCTTTTCAAATAACCAACTTATTGTTTTATTTATGTTTTGTATTTGTTGTTGTTGTTGTTGTGTCAATTTCATTTAGTTCTGCTCTGATCTTTGTTATTTCCTGTGTTTGCTGGGATTGGGTTTGGCTTGTTCCTGTTTCTCTAGTTCCCTGAGATGTGAACTTAGATTGTCTGTTTGTGCTTTTTCAGACTTTTTGATGTAGGTTTTTAGGACTACAAACTTTGCTCTTAGCAGTGCCTTTGCTGTATCCCAGAGGTCTTGATAGGTTGTGTCATCCAGTTCGAAGACATTTTTTACATTTCCATCTTGATTTCATTTTTCACCCAATGCTCATTCTGTGAGGAACAACCAAATTGTTTTCCGCAGCAAGGGCATCATTTTCTATTCCTAGCAGCCAGATCATGAGGGCTCCAACTTCTCCACCTCCTTAGCAACATTTATTTTCTGTGTCATTGTTATGAAACCCTTACTTGTGGATGCAGAGTGGCATGAATGAAGTCAATTAACACGTTTATTACCTCACAGAATAGTCACCTTTTTGTGTGCATGGGTGGGATAAGAAAACTTAACTCCATCCCCTGTGACGGAATAGTGGCCATTCCAGCTGCTCCAGGCTCCAGCAGAGGAAGACCGGGGTATGTGGCCCCACCAGGGTGACCCTCAGGCCTGGCGTGCACGCATTCCAGAGGCCACCCAAACCATGCTCCGCCATCTGGGCGCCCAAGCTGCCGTCGCCCCCTGTGTGCAGGCAGCACCTGCCTGGCAACCCCTGAGCCCGCTCGCGCTCCTAGCATCACAGAAGCAGGGCCACGTGTCCCAGTGGCTGCAGCCAAGCCAGGCATTCTGCCCTGCGGCAGCAGCTGCACAGGAGCGAGAACTGAGAACCCACCGCTCAACCCCACACGAGGTGACTGCCGAGTGCCCATATAAACGGCTCCGATCTCCCTCAGGTGGAGGAGTGGTCAGGAGGCACGGCCTGGGGGCCCTCAGTCTTGGCGCGCTGGCGATCCCAAGGCCGACCAGGCCATGCACCTCCAGCCTGCCTGGGCACCCGAGCTGCAGCCGCCTTCTGCGTGCAGGCAGCAGCCTCCAGGCAACTCCCGAGCCCGCCCACACTCCCCACATCTTGGAAGCAGGGCCAAATGTCCCTGTGGCTGTTGCCAAGCCAGGCGGTCTGTACTGCAGCAGCTGCACAGGGGTGGGAACCGGCCCTCAGCCCCATCCCCGGTGGCTGCAGAGGGCCCCTGGATAGAGATCTGGAGCTCTGACAGGGGAGGAGCCGGGCCGGGGCAGGGTCTGGCAGGCTCTCAGGCCAGGGGCACCCGCGATCCAGAGGCCGCCCAGGGCATGCTCCACCACCTGGGCGCCCAGCTACAGGCGCCGGGCGACTCCCAAGCTGGCTGGCGCGCCCAGCCTCGCAGAACCGGGGCTAGATGTCACCATGACTGCGACCAAGCCAGGCGGTCTGCACAGGGGCGGCTGCACCAGGGCAGGAACCGACCCTCAGCCCCATCCCCTGTGGCTGCAGATGGCCCCTGGGGCGGCCCCGATCTCTCTTCGGAGGAGGAGAGGGGCGGGAGTCACGGCCAGACGGACCCTCAGGCGGGAAGGAGTGCTGGCCTGCGATTCCGGGACGTCCCGTGCCAGCCCAGGAGAACCCGCAAGCCAGCGGCGCCTGTTTCTCTGTGTGATTCTTTGAGGAACCACCAAACTGTTTTCCACAGCAAGTGCATCATTTTCTATTCCTAGCAGCCAGTTCATGAGGGCTCCAGTTTCTCCACCTCCTTAGCAACATTGATTTTCTGTGTCGTTGTTATGAAAGCCTTACTAGTGGATGCAAAGTGGCATCTCATTTGGGTTTTGCCTTGCATTTTATTAATGAATAATGGTGTTTAGCATCTTTTCTTTTCCTTCTTAGACATTTGTGTATCTTCTTTGGAGAAATGTCTATTCAAGTACTTTGCCTATTTTTTAATTGGGATCTTAGAAATTCTGTTGTTGAGTTGTGGAACATTAAGCTTTTATCAGATACACATTTTGATTTTATCAGATACATATTTTCTCACATATTATGGGTTGTCTTTTCACTCCCTTGATAGTACCCTTTGATACATAAAGGGTTTTTTATTTTGATTAAATCTAATTTTCGTGTATTTTCTTTTGTTATCTGTGCTTTTCTGTCATATTTCAAAATACGCTTAAAACTCAAAGGTCATAAAGGTTTACCATGTGTTTTCTTCTAAGAGTTACATATTTTTAGTCCTTACATTTAAGTCTTTTATTAATTTAGAATTAATTTTTGTATATACTGCAAAGTAGGGGTCTAACTTCTCTCTTGTGCACTGACATCCAGTTGTTGAAGAGACTGTTCTTTCCTCCCTTGACTAGACTTGGCCACCTTGTTGAACCGTCATTGACCATATATGTGAGGACTAATTTGTAGGATCTCAAATCTGTTCTATTGTATTGGTCTGAAAGTCTATTGGTCTTATTCCAGTACCACACTCTCTTGATTACTGTAGATTTGTAGTAGGCTGTGAAACTGAAAAATGTGAGTTTTCCAATGTTCTTTTTCAAGACTGTTTTATCTGTCAGATCCTTTGAATTTTTGTATGATTTTAGAATGAGTTTCTTTGTTTCTGCAAAAATGCCTTTGGGATTTTGATGGTATTGCATTGAATCTGTAGATTACTTTAGATGGTATTGTCATCTTAACAATATTGTCTTACAACCCGTGAACACAGAATGTCTTTCCACTTATTTCCACTCTCTTTAGTTTTTTGCAGCAATGTTTTGTGTATACCACCATGGTTAGATGTATGCCTGAATAACGTATTATTTGATGTCATTATAAATGGAATTTTTAAAATGTTTTCATAGTTCTTTACAACTATATAGAAATATAGCTCATTTGCCTATGTTTGTTTGCATCCTGCCTCTTTTATTAGTTATAATCGGTTTTGTGTTTTGTTTGGAGCTTTATACCCATAAGATCATGTGTAGATATAATTTTACACCTATTTTTTATTTCTAATTTAGATGCCTTTTATTTCTTTGTCTTGCCTAATTGCTCTGGCTAGAACTGCCAGTGCTACGTTGAATACAAGTGGCAAATGCACCATCCTTTTCTTCTAGATGTTAGGAAAACAGCTTTCAGTGTTTCATCACTGATCATGATATTAACTGTTGGGTTTTTGTACATCCCATTGTCATGTTGCAGAAGATCCCTTCTATGCCTAGTTTATTGAGTATTTTTATTATAGAAGGGTGTTGTATTTCATCAACGTTTTCTCTGCATCAATTGAAATAATCACGTGCTTATTCATTTTACTGTTACAGCATATTACACTGATTGATTTTTTATATGTTGAACCACCCTTGCATTTTGGGGATAAATCTCAAAGGGTGATAGTTTACAATCCTTTGATTATACAGTATTGCTGCTGCTAGTATTTTGCTAGTATTGCTAGTATTTTGCTGAGATTTTTGCTTATATATTCATAAGGGATATAGTGCTGTATTTCTCTCTTTTGTGCTCTCTTTGTCTTTGGTATAAGGATAATGCTGTTATCAAAAAATGAATTAGCAAGTATTCCTTCTTCATATATTTTGTCAGAAGAGTTTGAGAAGAAATGGTATTAATTCTTCTTTAAATGTTAGGTTGACTCACCAGTTAATGCAGCTATTTGGTCATAAATGTTTCTTTGTTAATCGCTTTCGATTACTAATTCAATCTCCTAGGTTATAGGTCTATTCAGATTTTCTCTTTCTTCTTGAGCCACTTTGGTAGTTTGTGTCTTTCTAGCGATTCATCCATTTCATCCAGGGCACCTAGTTTGTTGCTAGACAGTTGTTCACAGTATACTCCTGTAATCCTTTTGTATTTCTATAAAGTTGGTAGTAATGGCTCTGCTTTCATTTATTATTTTAATAATTAGTCTTCCATCTTTTGCTCAGTCAATATAGTGAAAGGCTTGATCTTTCAAAGAATCTACATTTTTTCATTCTACTGCTCTCCAACCTTCTGTTTTATTGATTTATGCTCTAATTATGCTCTTTATTATTTCTTTCCTTCTGCTAGCTTTGGATTTAGTCTTCCACCTGGATTTATTTTGAGAGTGATATTGATGTAACTTCATGGAAATAATACTAGATAGAAAGTTAGCGGATAGATTCTCTATCTGATGAGAGTTTGGGGCAAGTCGAGTACCAGGTTACCAAGTTTTATTTTTTTCTCTGACCCAAAAAACAATTTGGCAGCCGGTGAGAAACTCTCACAGCTCTGGATGTGAGTTTAGGACACTGCATTTCTACCATTCAATTTCTTACTACTTTTTTGCACAGGGATCATGGCACAAGTTGCAGTTTCCACCCTGCCCATGGAAGATGAGGAGTCCATGGAAGATGAGGAGTCTGTTGAAGATGATTCCGTGGAGAGCAGGATGGTGGTGACATTTCTCATATCAGCTCTCGAGTTCACGGTGAGACCTTCTGTTCTAACATGATATAATTTGGTAGAACTAGGTGGTAGATAAGGTTGATTTGTTTTTGTAGAACTTATAATTTTATGATTTGTAGTTCTAATGAGTAGATCTTTTTCTGGAATAGTAGTTATGGTCAAACACTTCTAACCAAATGTGCCATGTTGTTCAGTCTGGTCTCAAAATATGGGGCTCAAGAGACCTGCCCACCTTGGCCTCCCAAAATACTGGGATTACAGGTGTAAGCCCCTGAATCTGGCCAGATATTTTTCTTTTTATGGCTGAATAATACTCTGTGTATGTATATATTACATTTTCTTTATCTATTCACCTACTGATGGGCATTAGGTTTGGGCTACCTTTTGGCCACTGTGAATAATGCTGCTGTTAATCGGGTGTACAAATACCTGTTTGAGTCCCTGCTCTCAGTTCTTTTGGGTATATATGCTTAAAGGGTGTTGATGGATCATATAATTCTATGCTTCATATTTTTAAGGAGCTGCTAAACCATTTTCCACAGTGGGCTGTACCATTTTACATTCCATAAAGCAATGCATACAGCTTCCAATTTCTCTATAGCATTGCTGACAGTTAATATTTTCTGTTTATGTATTGTATTTTTATAGTGTTTGAAATTAATCTGAGGCTTTTCACTGATACCAAAATATTAGGAAAGGTTTTCCAAAAATAATGCTGCTTATTATAGAGGATTTTACGTGTTACTTGATGCCCTGTGATCTGTTTTCTAAGTAAGAAGAGGAACTTCTTGGCTGGGCACAGCAGCTCATGCCTGTAATCCTAGCACTTTTAGAGACCGAGGTGAGTAGATCACCTAATGTCAGGAGTTCAAGACCAGCCTGGCCAACATAGTGAAACCCAGTCTCCACTAAAAAAAAAAAAAAAAAAAAAAAATTAGCTGGGTGTGGTGGGGGGTGCCTCTAATCCCAGGTATTCGGAAGGCTGAGGCAGAGAATTGATTAAACCCATAAGGCAGAGGTTACAGTGACCGAGATTGCACCACTGCACCCCAGCCTGTGTGACAGAGTGAGAGTCCATCTCAAAAAAAAAAGGAAAGAAAGAAGAAGAACTTCTCTCCATCCAGCCTCATTCCACTGCACCAACTCTTCTGTGTCTGGTTGTGCAAGGGAGAAAGGGAGCTTGGCAACTCTTTGCTGTGTTGAGTTGTGGTAGCTCATCACTGGGTTGTAAAGTGCCTTGCCTCCTTTCCTCCCCTCCTTTTTTTTGAGACAGAGTCTCACTCTGTCGTCCAGGCTGAGGTGCAGTGGTGCGATCTCTGCTCACTGCAACCTTAGCCTCCTGGGTTCAAGTGATTCTCCTGCCTCAGCCTCCCAAGAAGCTGGGACTACAGGCACATGCCACCACACCTGGCTAACTTTTTTTATTTTTAGTAGAGACAGGGTATCACCATGTTGGCCAGGCTGGTCTTGAACTCTTGACTTCAGGTGATCCACCCACCTTGGCCTTCCAAAGTGCTGGGGTTAAAGGCATGAGACACTGCGCCCGTCCACCTCCTCTTTTACTTTGGAGAAATGCACAGATTCTGGGTGCCATGTGCATTTGTTTTGGGAGTGATAATTGATCTAACTTATGGAAATAATACTAGATAGTTAGCGGATGGATTCTGTATCTGATGAGAGTTTTGGGCAAAACGAATTCCTAGTTTCTGAGTCTTATTTTTCCCCTGATTCAAGAAAACTGTGAATTATCCAGCCAGTAAAAAACTCTCACAGCTCTGGATGTGAGTTTAGGACACTGGATTTCTACCACTCATTTTCTTACTACTTTTCTTGTGCAAGGATCATGGCACAAGTTGCAGTTTCCACCCTGCCCATTGAAGATGAGGAGTCTGTTGAAGATGAGGAGTCCTTGGAGAGCAGGATGGTGGTGACATTCCTGTCAGCTCTCGACTCCATGGTCAGACCTTCTGTTCTCACATTCTATAGTTCGGTAGGACTGGGCGGTAGATAAGGTTGATTTGTTTTTGTAGAACTTACAATTTTGTGATTTTTAGTTCTAATGAGTAGACCTTTTTCGTGAATAGTAGTTACGGTCAAACACCTCTGACCAAATGTGCATGTGGAGTTTCTACACTGATTTTCAGACAATCTGGATCCCAACTGGGTATCCTACAATTCCATCCTGACACTCCCTGGAGTTAGTGCAGACCCTGCAGGATGGGAGCTCAGTCCCAGGAGTCTACCCTCACTCCACATGCCAATTGCAAGTCTTGGGTTGTTACATGTAGTTTTGACCAACCAGTTAGAAAACAGGGTTTCATGACCCCCATTGGTGGGTGGAATCATTTGCTCGGACATTTGCTTGAAGAACTCAGAAAAACAGATTGTTTTCTTTTTTTTCTGAGATACAGGGTCTCAGTCTGTTGCCAGGCTGGAATGCAGTGGTGTGATCAAAGCTCACTGTAGCATGGGACTCCTGGGCTCAAGTGATCCTCCCACCTCAGCCTCCCAAATAGCTGAGATTATAGGCCTGTACCAGCATATCTGGCTATGTTCTTTTACTTTTTGTAGAGATGGGGTCTTGTTATGTTGCCCAGGCTGGTCTCAAATTTCTGGGCTCACGTGATCCTCCCACCTCAACTTCACAAAATGCTGGGATTATGGGCATGAACCACTGCATCTCACCAATTTACTTTCTTTTACTGGTTCATTTTAAAGGCTAAATCTCAGAAACAGACAGTGAAAGAGATGTACATGCTGGGCACAGTGGCTCATGCCTGTAATTTCAGCACTTTGGGAGACTGAGGCGGGAGCATTGCTTAAGTGCTCAGGAGATTAAGACCAGCCTGGGTAACAAGGTGAAAATGCATCTCTACAAAAAGATTTTTCTAAAAATTAGCCAGGCACAGTTATCTATAGTTCTAGCTACTCAGTGCCTATAATTCTAGCTACTCAGGAGGCTGAGGTGAGAGGATGAGAGGATGGGGCTTGAGATAGGGAGGCATAGGTCACAGTGAGCCACGATTGTGCCATGACACTCTAGGCTGGGAGACAGAGCCAGACTCTGTCTCAAAAAAAAAAAAAAACACACACACACAGGGCAAGGTATGTCGAGAGGGGTATAGAACTTCCATGTCCTCTATTGTGCATATTACATTCCTGGTATCTCCCTTGTGTTCAGCAACACAGACATTCTCCAACTCCAGTTGTTGAGGGCGCTTATGAAAGCTTCATTATGCAGGCATGATTGGTGAAGTCATTGACCATTGGTGATTAAGTCAGTCTTCGGCCACTATTTCTTCCTGGAGCCCAGGGGGTGAGGCTGACAGTTCCAAGCCTCTAATCACATGGTTTGTTCTTCTGACAACAACCACCCCTTTTTCTGAAGCTGTCTACAAGCTTTCAGTCACCCAGTCATCTCAGTAACATCACCAAATGCATTCTTACTATGGTGATCCCAAAGGTCTTAGAGGCTCTTGTGTTAGAAACCTGGGACTAAGACCAAATATTGAAACAGAAGATGCCTCATCACTTTCATCACCAAGGCCTTTATAAGAGCTTGAGAATCTCTTTGCCAGGATGAGGGGCAGAAACCAAATGTGTATTTCTTTTCTTTTTCTTTTGAACACAGAGTCTCTATTTCACCCAATCTGGAGTGCAGTGATGGTGTTGTAGCTAACTGCAGCCTCAACCACCTGTGCTCAAGCAATTCTACCACCTCAGCCTTCCAAGCATCTGGGACTACAGGTGCACACCATCCATGCCCAGCTAATTTTTGTATTTTTTGTAGAGATAGGATCTTGTTATATTGCCGAGGCTGGTCTTGAACTCTGGGGCTAAAGCGATCCTTTCACCACAACCTCTCAAGTAGCTGAAACTACAGATGCATACTACCATGCCCAGCTAATTTTTTCTTATTTCTTTTTGTTGTTTAATTGAGGGGGTCTCGCTGTGTTTCCCAGGCTGGTCCTGAAGTTTTGGCCTCAAGCGTTTCTCCTGCTTTGACCTCCTAAACTGTTGGGATTATGGTTGTGAGCCACGGCCTCTGTGTCCAGCAATCACAAGAGGTCTTTATAAGTGAAAGAGGGAGGTAAGAGAGTCCGAATTGAAGGAGATTTGATGATGGAAGCACAGGTCACAGAGGGAGATTTGAATATGCTTTGCTTCAGGCTTTGAAGATGCAGTTAGGGGCCATGAGCCAAAGAATAGGAGTGGCTTTAGCAACTGGGAAAGGCAAGGGAACATATTCTCTCCAGAACCTCCAGAAGGGATGCAGTCCTGCTGGCACCTTGACTTTAGCCTTAATAGACCTATTTTGGACTTCTGGCCCCCAGACCTCTTAGTGAGTAGATTTGTGGTGTATTAAGCCACTCAATGTAGGGTAGTTTGTAACAGCGGCAAGAAGAAATGAACACGAAGCCAGAATTGGTGGCCCACACCTATAATTCCAGCTATTTAGGAGGCTGAGGCAGGATGGTTGCTTTGGCCCAGGAGTTCACGATAAGTCTGGGCAACAAAATGATACCCTGTCTACATGAAAAAAAAAAAAATTAGCGGGTGTGGTGGCATGCACTTGTAGTCTTAGCTACTAGAGGCCCTGAGGCAGGACAATTTCTTGACCTAGGAGCTCCAGGTCTCAGTGCGTTGTGATCGTGCCATGGCACCCCAGTCTGAGTGACACAGCGAGATTATATCTTAGAAAAAAATAGAAAAAAGAAATGAGTGAGTATGGCAGGAATAGGGACAGATAGCAATATTAAATAGAGTGGTCAGGTTGGCCTCCTAAGTGAAAATTGAGCAAAGACTTGAAGGAGGGGAAGGAGCTGGCCAAGGTACTGAGGGAAGAGCATTTTAGGCAGAAACAACAGAATAAAGATGCTAAGAGGGAACTCCGTGGTGTGTCTGAAGCTCAGGAAAGAGGTCTGTGGAGTAGAGAGAGGGAGAGAAGTAGGGAAGGAGGCCAGGGAGTTGTTGGACTCAGATCAGTACAGATTGTGTAAGCCCTGGGAGGCTATTGCTGGGGCTTTGGTTTTTATTCTGTCTGAGATGGGAGATGCAGAAGGGTTCTGAGCAGAGAGGTGACACGAACTGTCTACTGATTTAAAAGCATCCCATGGCAGCTGAGTTGAGAAAGATTGTGGGAAGATTTGGGTAGAAGCAGGGAGGCCATGCTGTGGCAACCTCCAGGAGGGAGATGATTGTGGTTCTGACCAGGTCCCTGGCAATGGTGAGAGATGGTTGATTCTTGTTGAAATGCTAAGTAATTAAAAAAAAACCACTACTGCTTTTCCCAATTATATGAAGTATGGGATGCTAGATTACAGAAATCTTAAGTCGGGCCAGGTGTAGTGGCTTATGTCCGTAGCTTCAGCACTTTGGGAGGCAGAGATGGGAGAATGGTTTGAGTCCAGGAGTTTGAGACCACCCTGGGCAACACAGCAAGACTTCCTGTGTACGCAAATAAAAATTAATAAAATATAATTATCCCGGCATAGTGGTATTTTCCTGTAGAACCTGTTACTTAGGTTGTTGAGGTGGGCAGATCTCTTGAGGGCGGGAGTTTGAGGCCAGCTTGGGCAACATAGCAAGGCTCCTCTTTCTACAAAAAAAAAAAAAAAAAAAAAAAAAAAAAAAAAAAAATTAGCTGGGTGTTTTGGTGTTCATCTGTAGCCGTAGCTATGGTGAGGGTGAGGCAGGAGGATCCCCGGAGCCCAGGAGGTCACAGCTGCAGTTAGCTATGAGTGCACCCCTGCATTGCAGCCAGAGTGACAGAGTGAGACCCGGTCTCAGAATACAGATACAAGTAAAGAAATCTCAGCTCAGAGCAGTCTGTTTGTCACTATGCAGCCTTTGCAACCCCATAGCTGCGCGATTGGGTTTGTGTTGCTGGAGGTGAGGAGACCCGTGCCCAGGTGTTGTTGCCTGTCTAATCAGTTTATTTTAAAATATATTAATGAAATTTATTTCATCATACTTTATGGCCTCATACCTGAGTGGTTTTTTGAATTCTCCTTTGAATAGCTTGTAACTATTCAAACCTCTTATTGGTTCTATAATTAATTCTTTTTCTAATTAGCTTTTTAAAAATCAGAATTGATATTAGACTAATCAGTTATTAATGAGGAGATGAAATTGAGTTGTTTGTACACTTTATCTAAGATAGTGTTATATTGGCTAACTCAAATCAGTAGTTCAGCAAATGCAGAATCAGAGCTTCTTCAGTGTGGAACTCTCTTGTGGTTCTTGAAGATGCCATTTCTTTCTTTTTTTTTTTTTGAGACAGCATCTTCCTCTGTCACCAGGCTCGAGTGCAGTGGCACAATCTCAATTCACAGCAACTTCTGCCTCCCGGGTTCAAGCATTTCTTTTGTCTCAGCCTCTGAAGTAGCTGGGACTACAGGCACATGCCACCATGCCCGGCTAAGCTTTGTATTTTCTGTAGATACGGGGTTTCAGCATGTTGGACAGGCTGGTCTTGAACTCCTGACCTTGTGATCCACTGGCCTTGGACTCCTAAAGTGCTGGGATTACAGGTGTGAGCCACCGTGCCTGGCCTCTTTTTTCAGTCTTTAATAAACTGCTGCCATCATTTCAGACCACTTGCTATTTTAGGCACTTAGAAATTTTTCACTGGAATTCATGTAAAGAAAGACCATGGGTGTTTGTACTGGATTTAGTATTCATCCTTCGACTGCATGACTCACCCCTAGTGCCATAATTTTACTAATGAATTTTTCAGATACTACTCAGCTGGCCACTGAACCTAACCAGCAACCCACCCTCAACCATTCAGTGGTCTTTTGTTCTTGTGTGTTTCTCCTGAATGTTGATTACTCTCAGAAGGTGATAAAAACTTGGATTTCTTTTTTTTTCTTTCTAGAGACAGGGTTTTGTTCTGTCACCCAGGCTGCAGTGCAATGGCATGATCATGGTTCACTGCAGCCTGAAACCCTGGACTCAAACAGTCCTCCCACCTCAGCCTCCCAAGTAGCTGGGACTACATATATTTGCCCCTATGCCCAGCTAACTTCTTTATTTTTTATTGTACAGATGGGATCTTGCTGTGTTGCTCAGGATGTTGTCAGACTCCTGGCCTCAAGTGATCATTCTGCCTCAGCTTCCCAAAGTGCTTGGATTATATGTATGTGGGAGCCACCTGTGTTCAATGCCCATTTTCTTTTTCTTTCTTTCTTTTGGAGATGGACTCTCACTCTGTCATGCAGGCTGGAATGCAGTGGTGTGATCTCAGCTGACTGCAACCTCCACCTCCCTGGTTCAAGCAACTCCCCTGCCTCAGCCTCCCGACTAGCTGGAATTACAGGCCCATGTCACCACTCTCAGCTAATATTCTTGTATTTTTAGTAGAGACAGAGTTTCAGTATGTTGGCCAGACTAGTCTCGAACTCCTGAAATCAGGCAATCCACCCACCTTGGCCTCCCAGTGTGCTGAGATCAGAGGCGTGAGTCACCACACCATGCCCAGCCATTTTTAAAATAATAACGTTATTGAAATATGATTAACGTATCATGCAATTCATTTATCAAAGTACACAATTCAGGCCAGGTGCAGTGGCTAATTCCTATAACGCTAAGACTTTGGGCAGCTGAGGCAGGTGGATCGCTTGTGTTCAGGAGTTTGCGACTAGCCTGGGCAACATGGCAAAACAGCATCTCTAGCAAAAATACAAAAATTAGCTGGTGTGGTGGCTCATGCCTGTAGTCCCAACTACTTGGGGACATGAGACTGGAAGATCACTTGAGCCCAGAAGCCATAGGTTGCAGTGAGACCAGATGGCACCACTGCACTACAGCATGGGTGACAAAAGGAGACCGTCTTTAAATAACTAAAGAAAAAAAAGAAAGTATACAATTGAGTGGTTTTTAGAATATTCAAGGAGCTGTGCATCCATCACCACAGTCTTTCTTAGAAGTGATCACCCACTTGTGAGTTACCCACTTATGAGTGAGAAACCCTCACCTCTTAGCCGCTACCTCCTACGTACCCCATGTTCATAGGCAACCAGTGATTTATTTTCTGTCATTGTAGTTTTGCCTAATCTGGACCTTTTATAGAAATAGAATTGTACAATGTGTGATCTTTTGTAATTTGCTTTTTTTTCTCTTAGCAGAATGTTTTCAAATTTCTATCATGTTATAGTGTGTATCAGGATTTCTTTCCTTTTGTAGCTGAGTAATAGTTTATGTTTATCCATTCATTAGTTGATGGACATTTGTGTTGTTTTTGAGTATTCACCATCATGAGTCAGGCTGTTATGAACACTCGTACGTAAGTTTTAGTGTGAACATATATTTTTATTTCTCTTGGATTTACACTCAGGAGTGAAATTGTTGCATTATGTGATTACTATACATTTAGTCTTTGAGAAACTGCCACGTTGTTTTTCAAAGTGGTTACACTGGTCAGGCACAGTGGCTCACACCTTTAATCTCAGGTATTTGAGACGCTGAGTTTGGAGGATTTTCTTAGCTCGGGAGTTCAGGACAACCTTGGGCAACATAGGGAAACAATATCTTGATTTTTTAAAAAAATCAAATGCCAAGAAAACACCCAAATTGATTACACCATTTTATATTCCCACCAGTAATGTATGTGAGTTCCAATTATTCCAATTGTCACCAACTTTTTTTTTTTTTGAGACAAAATCTTGCTCTGTTGCCCAGGCTGGAGTGCAGTGACATGAACATGGCCAGTGCAGCTGTGACCTTCCAGGCACAAGTGATCCTCTCACCTCAGCCTCCTAAGTAGCTGGCACTTACAGATGCATGCTATCATGAGCAGCTGATTTTTACAGTTTTTGGTAGAAATGGGGTGTTGTCATGTAGCCCAGGTTTGTGTCAAACTCCTGAGCTCAAGTGATCTGCCTGCTTCAGCTTCCGGAAGTGCTGAGATTACAGGTGTGTGCCACCATGCCCGACTGGTGTAACCACTTTGGAAAGCAGCCACTGAGCCCGGCCTTCACCAGTATACCAATATTTGTTAATATCGTTTTATTTTTTACAATTTTTCCATTTTTAAAAACTTATTATTTTACCTGTATTATTGATTATAATAAACAACGAATAATTTTGTAGTAGAGTTGAGTCCCCCCAAAAAGTATTTATTGTTTAACTGAAGTAGTTTTTTTTTTAACCTGGATATATATTTTTTCATTTTCACTTTATTTTTAGTGTTTATTTTTAAAAATTATTTATATGTATTTTTATTTTAATAGGTGTTTGAGAAACAGGTGGTGTTTGGTTCCATGAATAAGTTCTTCAGTGTTGATTTCTGAAATGTAGTACCCCTCATTACTCATTAAATTATATATTAAGTCATTATAAAATCATTAATAAACCAAGGACTTTAGTAAAATGGGAATTTTATTTTAACTTGCAACCTGGGACGTAACTGTCAAAACAATTAGAGAAATTACCACATTAAGGTTTTCAAATCTTGAACTGAAAAATGAAAACCTTGATGCACCTAAGAACCACCAGCCCACTGGTCAAAGTGAACAAAACTAAATGAAAAAATAAAACCAAGAAAACCAAACTCAGGATTATTAGGTATTCTGTAATGCTATTTTATCTTTGGACTCACAGAAAATAGTTATTATTATTATTACTATTATTATTATTATTATTATTTTGATATGGAGCCTCACTCTGTCACCCAGGCTGGAGTGCAGTGGTGCAATCTTGGCTCACTGCAACCTCTGCCTCCTGGGTTCAAGTGATTCTCCTGCCTCAGCCTTCAGAGTAGTTGGGATTACAGGCAGGTTCCACCATGCCTGGCTAACTTGTATTTTTGATAGAGACAGGGTTTCACCATGTTGGCCAGGCTGGTCTGAAACTCCTGATCTCAAGCAATCTGCCTACCTCAGCCTCCCAAAGTGCTGGAACTACAGGCATGAGCCACTGTGCTCAGCTGAAAATAGGTAATTTTATGTATATTCCAAGTCAGAATACATCCTATTTTTGAATATTTGATGACTTTAGGATACTATATTAACTCTTAATTGAATTAATACAAGTTTAGGTGTAAAAATGATGTTTATGTTGACAAAAATTATTAGTGTTTTACATATATGAAAGTAACAATATCATATATTTTTCGTACTTGTAGAATACTTTGAAATCTATTATTAGCTAACATTTTATATTCATTTTGGGTTTTCACATTATTGTTAGATCCAGAGAAAAGTAATATTTTGTGAATACTCAAATCATAAACATTTTGCTGGATGCATTCATAGATACTTTATTTAAAAAGTACACTAATTGAAGTTTTACACCATTTTATGATTCATCAAACACAGCAACTGAATACTGGCGTATAGCAACATTACAGATGATGTTAGTCTAAGATAAAACTCATAACACATTTTAAAAAGGGTGAAAGGAAGGAAAGGAAAAAGGATACAAGGCTGTAGAAAGATTTTAAAAACAAACGTCGTATGTCTGAACCTTTGCCTGGAGTTTCATATTTTGTGAAAAGCAGTTTGTAAGTAGAGGACTCGTAAGTGCACCTAGTACACTGCAATGGCACAGACACGGCAGATAGTCAATAAAATGATCTTTAACTTCTGATCTAGGTTATTTTTGTTGTTGTTCATGTATTAACCTAGTGAAACTCAGCCAATAGATGGAGTGGCATTGACCTGTACAACTTCCAAAATCCCATCCAACCTTAGTGTCCTCTGAAGTTCTCCATAACTTATTGTCTGTTCCTATCAACATTTAGCATAAGCTACAGCTTATATTGTTAATAATTCTTCTATGTTTATGTGATGATTTGCAAATAAATGGGCCTATATAGTCTTTATCTAGTGTTGGATTGGGATCAAAAGCTTCATGAAATCATTGTTTTTAGTATACGTACAGATGGATAATTGTATAAATAAGTACAGATGTGTATAAATGTGTGAGTATACATACATATATTTTCTAGCTCCTCTAACAAAAGGGCCTAGAAACAACATCATCCCAGTAACAATGAGAACACCACTCTCCAATTAAAGGAACCAAGGCTCCTTGTGGACATATTTGATATCAGGATCGGGCAGGGAAAATACAAGATTAGTTTGAAATATTTTGTCATGTTAGGAAGTAAGGAAATGCTCACAAAATGGGGAAAATGTGAAAGGGAAACAGATCCACTTTGAATAAACTTCCATAGCCAAATTTGAGAAAATTGGGGCAATAAAATAGATAACAATAGTAATATATTACAATCTACAGAAGAAAATTTTCAATTAATCCATGCCGGGTGCGGTTGCTCATGCCTGTATTCCCAGCACTTTGGGAGGCAGAGGCGGGCAGATCACTTGAGGTCAGGAGTTCGAGACCAGCCTGACCAATGTGGTGAATCCCTGCCTCTACTAAAAATACAAAAATTAGCCGGGCATGGTGGCACATGCCTGTAGTCCTAGCTACTCCGGAGGCTGAGGCAGGATAATGGCTTGAATCCCGGAAGGTGGAAGTGCAGTGAGCGGAAATCGCACCATTGCACACCAGCCTGGATGACAAAACAAGACTCCAACTCAAAAAAAAATCCATATTGACATAAATAATAAACCAAAGATTGAGAATGGGTAGTATTTTATTACAGTAAGATTTCATTAAATGTAGGAGACATAAAATATAAGAATCATCACTTTGCAAATATCATAGTAATAATTGTTGCAAGAAAGAACCTTGGAGGGATGCTAAGATTAGTGGTGAATATATGTTGGGAAAGAACATATTTGCATAATATGAAAGTATCTTCCCACAAGATAATTATAGAATAGTAACTTCAAAGTGGAGATGTCAACTTAGCCAAGTGATCAAAGTTAACATTACTAATAATAAGATAAATGAACTTCATGTAACTTCTTATATGATGCACTGAGTAGGACAAAACATCAATTCTATGGTATTCTTAGACAAAATGTATAACTTTAGTCCTAACCGTGAGAAAACATCAGACTAACTGAAATTGAGGAGGGACATTCTACAAAATAACTGCCAGTATTCATCAAAAGCATTTTAGAAAGACTGAGGAATTCTCCAGAGACATGGAGGCATGTTATCTAAGTGCAATGGAGAACATGCATTGTATCATGAACCAGAGATGGACAACAGTAGGATATGTACAATAACACCCCAACATTTGAACATTAAACAAAATACTTCAGAAAAACCCATTGGCCAAGAAAAGTTTCACACACAAAAAAAATAGTTTAAACTGAAAGAAAATTTTTTAAAAACTTAATAAAATGTGGGATGCAGATAAATCGTTTCTTAAAAGTACATTTATAGATGTAATATATTGAAAATAAAAGGCTTCAATCAATGACCTTTAGGTTCTTTTTTAAGAGGCTAAAAAATGAGCAAAGTATATCCAAATTAAGAAGAAGGAAGATGATAAAGATAAAAATGTAAACCAACAACATAGCAAATAACAAAAGGTGGAGCTAATTAATATACCCACAAATTGGTTCTTTGAAAAAAATTTTTTAATAAACAATGGCTAGCAAGATTTATCTCGAAAAAAATTACAGAAGCTACATAATGTAGATAATGGGAATTAAATAGAGGATGTAACTACAGAACCTACAGACATCAATATAATTATGAAAACTTTAGGCCAATACATTTGACAATTAAAATAACATGGGAAATTATTTGTAAAACTAATTCTTAAAACTGATGCAAAATGAAATAGAAAAAGTAATAGCTTCTCTATGTATTGAAGAATTTTTTTAATTTAAAAAGATTTCTATAATTACAGGCTACATGCTTTCTTAGGTGAATTCTATCAAACATTTAAGAAAGTACAGAGAGTCCTCAACATACAGTGGTTTGACTTGTGCTCTTCTGACTTGATAATGGTGCTTTCATCTGTGTACATTAATGATGAGCATCAATATGACCAGTTTTTCACTATCAGTATAGTTTTCAATAAATTTCATGAGATACTCAATATTTTAAAATGGGCCTTGTGGTAGATGATTTTGCCCAATTGTAGGATAATGTAAGTGTTCTGAGCAAGTTTAAGGTAGGCGAGGCTAAGTCATGATATTCAGTAGGTTAAATATATTAAATGCGTTTTAGACTTACAATATTTTCAATTTAGGATGAGTTCATTAAGACATAAGACAATTGTAAGTTGAGGAGTATCTATAATATCAATCTTGAAAGGACTCTTTTTAAGAAATAGAATTTAAGGGCCGGACACAGTGGCTCACACATGTAATCCCAGCACTTTGGGAGGCCAAGACGGGCAGATCACCTGGGGTCAGGAGTTTGAGACCAACCTGACCAGCATGGAGAAAACCCCGTCTCTACTAAAAGTACATAATTAGCAGGCCATGGTGGCGCTTACCTGTAATCCCAGCTCCTCGGGAGACAGAGGCAGGAGAATAGCTTGAATCTGGGAGGCAGAGATTGTGGAGAGCCGAAATTGTGCCATTGCACTCCAGCCTGGGCAACAAGAGTGAATCTCCGTCTCAAAAAAAAAAAAAAAAAAAAAAAAGAAAATTTAAAGGGACATTTCCTATCTTATTTTATGAACCCAGTATTGCCGATTCCAAATCGAGACAAAGGCATTATATAACTTTGATGTTTATCCCTCATAAACATAGACTCAAAAGTCCTTAAAACATAATAACCAGTTGAATGTAGCAGTACATAGAATGGATAATAAACTGTGAACAAATTAAATTTCTAGCAAGTTTGCAAAGTTAATTTATTATTTGAAAGATCAGTTTAATCAATTTTATTCACCTGGATGGTTACACCTGGCAAAACTCAGCAAACTGTGCACTTTAAAATAGTATTTATTTTATGTCAATTATGTTTCAATACAATTGATTTAAAAAAAAAAAAAAAAACGTTTCCCAGAGTGATCAAAATGGAGGGCAGGGAACAGTAAACATCAGTGCTTATGTTATAGCTACTAGAAGCCTCCCAATTCCAACGACATGCTTTCAAGCAGGTCTGATCCTTCCCCTGGAGGATACCTCTGACCCAGGTGTGCTACAAATGCATTGCCCCTAGTTGCTTCTGTCACCTTAGTGATGGAAGTGACAAGAGGGTACTGGAGAAAGAAAAGGTGTACAAGGTTCCAAATGTACATTCTATTTCCAAAGGACATTTGTGAAGCCAGTGGAAAGCGAACAAACAAGCTGCTAAATAAGTCACAAGTGTGTTCTCGTACAGTTTTGCGATTAACTAAATAGGACATTCAACAGATAAAATTTGTTTTACATAGTTACTCCTCTAATAGGATGAACTTGTGGATTGTGAGATAGGGCTGATATAACCTGTTTTCTCTCTGCCTCTTTTTTTTCCCCCAAGTTTTGTGTGCAATACATTAGGAAAAATATAATTGGGCTACAAAGCTACAAAAATGGCTTCCTGGCAGTTCCATGCTTGTTTCCATGTGGTGCCTATGTTTGGCACTGTGTTCTCATTTGCACTTTCCTACTTGATTAGTTAATGTATGAAGGACAAGCCTGATCTCTACTGTGAATTTTTACCAAGGTATTCTAGTAGAAAAATGAGTATGTAACGGTGCTGTGGAATTCTAAAGTGTGTAAAACATTAAGAATCTAAAAATATGCTCATTTCCAAGTTTTGTCCCAGAGCAACTGTGCACTCTGATTATATCGCTACTGCTATTTAAAGTTATCCATTTGCATGTCTAAAAAATAGATTCATACTGATTGTCCCATTTTGATCTCAAAAAACTCCTGAATATGAGAGTCGTGATCAAGGGACTCTTCATGAAATGTTCCAAAGTTAAAGTGTGCAATGAAACCAGATTTATCATAGCCTTATTTAAAATAATTATTTCTAAAATTGTTATTGTTTAATTATAAACGGTATCCTTTCAGGATACTTGGAAGATCCATAGCAGTGTTTTTATTTTCACAGAACAAGCATAAATTATTTATGAAATAATAACTCAGATACAGAGATTACTTCCTATTGGCCTTACATATGAATATAAAGAAATACATATTATGAACATGAGCATACTTATTTTATAATTATGTAAATGTTTGTGTAATGTTATATATAAGTGCAATAAAGTCATGCTTATACATGGTTTCAATTCATGCTTCTAAAAACCACTCAATGTAGTCATTATCATATGTTAATAAATAATCTCTGAAAATGTGCTTCTAGTAGTTGCACAATATCCCATCATAAAGATTGTCATGCTGTTTTTAAGTCATACTTTTGAGTATATAAGTTATATCTGATATTTTTCTGCTACATATATACTATTATAAATCTAATAGTAGCTGATTTTTTGTCAACACATATGATTGTTTCCTCACAATAGTACAAGAGTTGGTTGTAACTTTATTTCCTTCCAACATTTATTTAGGTTCAGCGGGTACATGTGCAGGTTTATTATATGGGTAAAATGTGTGTCAATGGGATTTGGTGTACAGATTACGTAGTCATCCAGGTAGTGAACGTAGTATCTAATAGGGAGTTTTTTGATCCTCACTCTCCCCCCACGCTCCACCCACAGTAGACCTTGTGTCTATTGTTCCCTTCTCTGTGTCCATGTGGACTCAATGTTTAGCCCCCACTTATAAGTGAGAACATGCAGTGTTTGTTTGGTTTTCTGATCCTGCATTAATTCACTTAGAATAATGGTATCCAGCTCCATTCATGTTGCTGCAAAAGACATTATTTCATCCTATTTTATAGGTGTGTAGTATTCCATGGTGTATGTACGCTGCATTTTTTTAATCCAGTCTTCTGCTAACAGGCATCTAAGTTGATTCCGTGTCTTTGCTATTGTGAATAGTGTTATAATGAAAATATGCGTGCATATGTCTATGACGGAATGATTTATATTCCTTTGGGTATATACCCAATAATGGGATTGCTGGGTTGAATGGTAGTTCTGTTTTAAGTTATTTCAGAAATCTCCAAACTGCTTTCCACAATGGCTGAACAAATTTACATTCCTGATGAAACTGGAGACTTCCCTGACTCCCCTTGGCAGGATGTGCAACAGGGGTGTGGCTTGTCTGGCCACCGTGTGTGCTGTCAAACCCCTTACTGGGCAGGGGAGCATGCAGACAGGCAGGTGCAATAGGCAGGGCAAGTGGCCATGGTACTGTCTAGGGGTGGGTTCCTGCGACTCCCACAGCCCAAGTGGGCATGTGTTACAGTGCACTCTTTTAGCTTTGCCATCCACAGACGGCTTAAGTGTTAACCTGTTCAGTGCCCTCTTGGTACCCAGTTCCTTGTCCAGCATCCAGAAAGAATTAAGTTGCACACAGACTTGAGGATGGTGAATGTGGGGGTTTTATTGAGTGGTGGAGGTGGCACTCAATGGGATGGATGGGGAGCTGGAAAGGGGATGGAATGGAAGATGATCTTCTCCGGGAGCTTTGCCATCCGGAGGCTGATCTCTCCAACCACTGCCAGCCAAACTCCTCTTGGCATTCAGATGCTCCTTCTCTTCTTTCTGCCACATCATTCTGCAATTCTGCTCTTCTGTTCATCTCCTCATCTGCTTGTCTGCTTCTGGAGCCTGAGGTCTGGGGCATATATGGGTACAGGACAGGGGGTGCATGGTGAGCTGAAAGACAACTTTTGGGTGCAAAAGCAGGAATGCCTGTTCCCATTTAGGGCCATGGGTTTCCAGGCTTGTGGGCAGGGCTTTGCCAGAGAACCACTCTCTTCTACCCAGTATTTCCCTGTCTCCTTTCTATATCACCACCAGCAGTGTATAAGCATTCCCTTTTTTCCACAAACTCGGCACCGTCTGTTATGTTTAGATTTTTTAATAGTAGCCATTCTGACCGGTGTGATATGGTATCTCATGGTTCTGATTTTCTGATGATTAGTGATGTTGAGTATTTTTTCATATGGTTGTTTGCCATACATACGTTGTCTTTTGAAAAAAGAATCCACAGACGGCTTAAGTGTTAACCCGTTCAGTGCCCTCTTGGTACCCAAGTCCTTGTCCAGCATCCAGAAAGAAGTTGCACATGGACTTGAGGATGGTGCATGTGGGGGTTCATGTTCTTTGCCTATTTGTAGTGGGTTTGTTTTTTGCTTATTGATTCTTTATACATGCTAAGTATTAGACCTTTTTCAGATATGTAATTTGAAAATATTTTCTTCTGTTCTGTAGGGAGTTCTCTGTTGATAGCTTCTTTTGCTGTGCTGAAGCTCTTTAGTTTCATTAGGTCCCACTCGTCAATTCTTCTTGTTGCAATTGCTTTTGGAATCTTCATCATGAAATATTTGCCTGCGTCTATATCCAGAATGATATTTCCTAAGTTTTCTTCTACGGTTTATATAGTTTTGGGTCTTACATAAGTCCTTCATCCATCTTGAGTTGATTTTTGTATATGGTGAAAGGAAGGGAGTGTACATGCCCCTGTGATATTGTTCCTAATATCCAGGTTGGTAGAGGATATTATACTCAATATTGCAGGAAGTGTCGACCACCCTGAATATTGCTTTTAATATCCGGGGAGAGAGGGTGATATTACTCCCAATATCATCCTCTCCCCCCACACCCTGCATAGTACAAGCAATAGCAAAGGGGGTCTGTGCAACACGTGCAATATTGGGAGTAATATCCTCCCCCAACATGGATATTAGAAACAGTATCACAAGGGGTTGTACACCACCTGTGATATTGGGGAGTACTATCATTTTCCTTCCCCATGGATATGTAGAACAATATCACAAAGGTGGTGTACAACCCCTGCTATATTGGGAGTAATACTGTACTTTCCCCACCTAGATATTAGGAACAATATCACAGGAGGTTATACACCACTGCAACATTGGGAGTAATATCATCCTTTCCCTCCCTGGATATTAGGAACAATACCTCATGGGTGTGTACACCCTGTTCCATATTGGGATTAATATTTTCTCCCTTGCTGGACATAAGGAACAATATAACGGGGGGTATACACTCCTTATGATATTGCCAGTAATATTATAGACTCCCCCCAGGGATATTAGAAAGAGTATCAGAGAGGGGTGTACATCCCCTGCGATATTGGGAATAATATTCTTTCTTTCCCTGGATATTAGGAATAATATCACAAAGGGGTTGTATACCCCCCGTGACATTTTAATTAATATCATCTTCCCCACTGAATATTAGGAACAAATTCCCAGGGGGTTGTACACCACCTGCAATATGGACAGCTATATCATTGTCTCTCCCCCGAATATAAGGAACAATATCACAAGGGGGTTGTACAACCCCTGTGATATTGGGAGTAACTTTTTACCCTTTCCACATGGATATTAGGAACAATATCACAGGGTGGGTGTACACCCACTGCGATATTGGGAGTAATATCATCCTCTACCCCCTGGGTATTATGAACAATATCATGGGGAGGGGGTGTATGCCCTCTGTGATATTGGGAGTAATATCATCCTGTCCCCTCTGGATATTAGGAATGATATCACAGCGGGGCTGTACCTTTTCTGCACTATTGGGAGTGGTATCACCCTCTACCCCTATGGATATTAGGAACAATATCACAAAGGGGGTGTACACATCCTGTGATATTGAGAGTAATATTGTCCACTCTTCCCCGGGATATTAAGAACAATATCACAGGCGGAGTGTACACCCCCTGCTATTTTACCTGTAATATTTTTCTCTCCCAACCTGGATATTAGGAATAATATAACACGAGGGGTGTACACCACCTGTGATATTGGGAGTAATATCATTCTCTCCCCCCATGGATATTGAGAACAATATCACAGGGGCGGTTTACAACTCCTGCGACATTTAGAGTAATATCATCCTTTTCCCCCATGGATATTAGGAACGATATCGCATGGGAAGTGTACACCCCTGCCATATTGGGAGTAATATTTTCTCCCTTGCTGGACATTAGGAACAATATCATGGGAATGCACACACCCTGTGATATTGCCAGTAATATCATAGTCTCCTCCCAGGATATTAGGAACAATATCACAAGGGGGGTGTACATGCCCTGTGATATTGGAAGTAATATCATCGACTCCCCCCACGGATATTAGTAACAATATCAGAAGGGGTGTACACCCCTTGCGATATTTATAGTACTATCATCCTATACCCCCTGGATATCAGGAACAATACCACGGGGGGGTGTATACCCACTGTGATATTGGGAGTAATTTCGTCCTCTACCCCTTGGATGTTAGGAGCAGTATCACAAGGGGGGTGTGCAACCTTTGCGATATTAAAAATAATACCATTCTCTCCTTCTCTGGATACTAGGAATAATATCACAGTGCTGGTGTGCACCCTTTACACTATTTGGAGCAATATCACCCTCTCCCCAACTTGATATTAGAGACAATATCATGGGGAGTGGCGTGTAACACCCTGCACTATTGGGAGTACTATCATCTAGTCTTCCCCTGGATATAAGAAACAGTATCACAGAAGGGGTCTACACCTCCTGAGATTTTGGGAGTAATATCATCCTCTCCAAATCTGGATATTAAGAACAGTATGATGGGGTGTGGGGAGTAATATGGTGGGAGTAATACAATCCTCCTCCCCACTAGATATTAGGAACAATATTGCAAAACGTGTGTACACCCACTGTGACATTTGGAGTAATATCAACATTTCCCCACCTGGTATCACGGGGAGAGTGTACACTCCTTACGATATTGGAAGTATCATTGTCTCTCACTCTCGATATTAGGAAAAATAGCACAGGGTGTGTATACACTTCCTGTGATTTTGGGAAGAACATCATACCCTTCTGTCTTTGATATTAGGAACAATATCACAGAGGGGGTGTACAACTTCTGTGATATTATAATATTCTTTCTTCCCATGGATATTAGGAATGATATCCTGGGGGGCTTGTTGTACACCCCCTGTGATACGGACAGTAATATCATTGTCCTTCCCCCTACATATTAGAAACAATATCACAAGGGTGGTATACACCCCCTGGATATTAGAAACTATCACAGGGGGGCTCTACAACCTCTTTGATACTGTGAGTAATACCATTGTCTCCTCTCCTGGGTATTAATAACAATATCATAGGGTGGGTGTACACCCCCTGCAATATTGAGAATAATATCATCCTCTCTTCCCCAGGATATTAGGAATGGTATCACAGGTGGAGTTTACACCCCCTGCAATTTTGTCAGTAATATTACTTCTGGATGTTATTGAATATATCACAGTGGGGGTGTACACCCCCTGTGATATGGGGAGTAATAGCATCCTCTTTCCCACTGGATACTACAAACAATATCGCAGATTGTGTACAACCTCCTGTGATATTGTTCACAATATTTAGGGAAGGAGAGGATGATATTACTCCACATATCGCAGGGAGTGTTACATCCCCTGTAATATTGTTCATAATATTTAGAAGACGACAGGATGATATTACTCCCAATATAGTAGGAAGTATACACTCCCCTGTGATACTGTTCATAATTTTTAGGGGATTAGAGGATGATATTACTTCCAATATCACAGGGAGTGTACACTGGTGATATTGTTTATAATTTTCAGTGGATTAGAAGATATTATTCCAAATATCACAGGGGTTGTACATCCCCAAGTGATATTGTTAATATCCAGTGGGAAAGAGGATGATATTACTCCCCATATCACGGGGGATGTAAACCCATTTGTGGTATTGTCACTTACATCCGGGGGAAAGAGGATGATATTACTCTGCATATCATAGAGGGTGCACACGGCTGTAATGTTGTCCATAATAACATCCAGAGGGGAAGAGAATATTATTCCCATGTTTCAGAAGGTGTACACACCCCTGTGATAGTCTCTGTAACATTTAGGGAAGAAGGGGATGATACTACTCCAGATATTGCAGGGGGTGTACACCCCCCTGTGATACTGTTCGTAACGTTTAGGGGGAAGAGGATGATATTACTCCCCATATCGAAGGGATTGTACATCTCCCTATATATTGTCCATAACATCCAGGGCAGGAGAGGATATTACTACTCCCCATATCACAGGGGGTGGACACCCCCCTCTAAATATGTCTAACATCCAGGCGGGGACAGGAGGATATTTTTCCCCATAACCCAGAGAAAGTAACCTCCCGTGATATTGTCCATAACATCCAGTGGGGAGAGGATGATATCACTCCCCATATTGCAGGGGGTGCACACTCCACTCTGATATTGGCCGTAATATCCGGGGGGGGGGTGAAGTATGAAGTCACAACACATATCGCAGGGATTATTAGTATCAGATTGTTTGAAGGGCTCACAGTAAGGGTAGTAGTAGGGCGAGTTCTAACTCAAATAGGGGAAATGTGATGGCTACTAGAAAGAATTTTATGGAGAAGGGAATGTGGGCAGAGGATAGAGGGTCAAATCTGCATTCATAAGGGCTAGATTTTTCTATATATATTTATTTTATACTATATATATATTTTTTTTTCTCTCTCTACATATATATATTAAGTTGTGGGCCAAAATGTAATAATTATTAGTAACAGGGCTAATAGGGTGTTGATTACTAGGGTTAATGCTAGGTGAATTACTGTTTTTTGGATGCTATCAAAACTTTGGAAATCATGGTACTATTTATACTAAAAGAGTAAGATCCTCATCAATAAATAGAAACATACAAGAATAGTCATACTACATCTACAAAGTGTTGATATCAGGCAGTGGCTTCAAAGGCAAAGTGATGACTAGATGTAAAGTAGTGGTATTTTAATTGGCGGAGAAGGCAGACTGAGGAATGTTGATCCAATAATGACGTGAATTCTGTGAAAGCCTGTAGCTATAAAAAATGTTGAGCCATAAATACCATCAGAAATAGCAAAGGGAGCTTTGAAGTATTCTGAGACTTGTAGGAGGGTGAAGTAAATATCTAATATAATTGTAACAAGTAGTGCTTGGATTGTATGTTTTTGATTATTTTTCGTTAGGCTGTGATGGGCTCAAGTAATTGAAACTCCTGATGCAAGTAATACAGATGGATCCAGGAGAGGTACTTCCAGGGGGTCAAGAGGAGAAATACCTGTTGGGGGTCAATGCCCTCCTAATTCTGGAGTAGGGGCTAGGCTAGAATGGTAGAATGCTCAAAAGAATCCAGCGAAGAGGAATATTTCTGAGATAATAAATAGGACTGTCCCATATTGGAGGCCTTTTTGAACAGTTGTTGTATGGTGACCCTGAAATGTACTTTCTCAGATACAGAACACCCTTGGTCAATTGAATACAGATCAATCACTTTAAGTAAGCTAAGTCCTTACTAAATTGATGAGACTTAAACCCATGAAAACTTAACAGCTAAACTCCCTAGTCAACTGGTTTGAATCTACTTCTCCAGCCACTGGGGGAAAAAAGGTGAGAGAAGCAGGATTGAAGCTGCTTCTTTGAATTTACAATTCAACATGAAAATCACCTTGGGACTGGTAAAAACAGGCGTTGACCTCTGTTTTTAGATGTACAGTCTAATGCCCTACTCAATCATTTTACCCTTTTTTCTCACTTCATTTATGTTGGCTGACAGTTGACTATTCTCAACCAACCATAAAGATATCGGGACATTATATTTATTATTTGTCACATGAGCAGGGATAGTCAGTACAGCTTTAAGTCTTATTCGAGCTGAACTCTACTAGATGATCAAATTTATGTCATTGTTATAGCCTATGCATTTGTCATAATTTTCTTTATAGTAATACTATAATTGGAGGTCTTGGCAACTGATTAGTCCCCCGATAATTGGCGCCCCCGATATAGCATTTCTCTGCATAAATAATATGAGCTTCTGACTCCTCCCACCCTCCTTCCTATTATTACTTGCATCCACTATAGTAGAAGCCGGCACTGGAACCGGCTGAACAGTCTCTCCTCCCTTAGCAGGAAACCTAACACATGCAGGTGCCTCTGTAGATTTCACTATCTTTTCACTCCACTTGACAGGTGTTTCTTCTACTTCAGGGGCTATTAACTTTATTACCACAATTGTTAATATAAAACCCCCAGCCATGTCCCAATATCACACACCCCTCTTCATCTGATTAGTACTAATTACAGCAGTTCTTCTACTCCTTTGTCTCCGAGTCCTAGCCGCCGGCATCACTATATTGTTAACTGACTGCAATCTTAATACTACTTTTTTCTACCTGGCTGGCGGAGGTGGTCCTATCTTGTTTTAGCATTTATTCAGATTCTTTGGTCACCCTGAAGTCTACATTCTCATCCCACTGGGCTTTGGGATAATTTCCCACGTCGTAACATACTATTCTGGAAAAAAAAAGAACCATTCAGGTATATGGGCCTAGAGTGAGCTATAGGATCAGTTGGGTCCTTACGGTTTGTTGTATGGGCCCACCGTTTATTTACGGTAGGGATAGATGTGGATACATGAGCCTGCTTCACCTCTGCTATTATAATTATTGCTATTCCTACTAGCGTCAAAGTTTTTAGCTGACTTGCTAGCTACACTTCACGGCGGTAATATCAAATGATCCCCCGCAATGCTGTGAGCCCAGGGATTTATTTTCCTTTTTACAGTAGGAGGCCTAACTGGCATTGTATTGGCCGAGGCTTATATTATGGTTCATTCATATATTTAGAAACCTGAAAGTTTCTAAATAAGTTGTAAAAAAGTTGTAAAAAAAACCCCAGCTGAAATAACTACTAAGGTGCCTTTAATATTCTGAAGACAAAATAGCTAAGATCCAAACTGGGAGTAGATACCCCGCTATGCTTAACTCTAAACTCGAATAGTTAGATCAACAAAACTGTTCGCCAGAACACTACAAGCAACAGCTTAAAACTCAAAGGACTTGGCGGTGCTTTATATCCCTCTAAAGGAGCCTGTTCTATAATCGATAAACCCCAATTTACCTCACCACCTCTTGCCCAGCCTAAATACCTCCATCTTCAGCAAACCCTGGAAAGGCCACAGAGTAAGCACAAGTATCTACATAAAAACTTTAGGTCAAGGTGTAGCCCATAAGGTGGCAAGAAATGGGAACGTTTTCTACATCCAGAAAAATGTCGCGACAACCGTTATGAAATCTAAGGGCTCAAGGAGGATTTAGCAATAAATTGAGAGCAGAGTGTTTAATTGAATAAGGCCATGAAGCATGCACACACCGCCCGTCATCCTCCTCAAATATATTCTAGAAACTCATTGTACACCCCCCTGTGATATTGTCCATAATATCCAGGGAGGGAGAGAATGATTTGATTTTTTTTTTTTTTTTTTTTTTGAGACAGAGCCTTGCTCTGTCGCCCGGGTTGGAGTGCAGTGGCCTGATCTTGGCACACTGCAAGCACTGCCTCCCAGGTTCACACCATTCTCCTGCCTCAGCCTCCCTAGTAGCTGGGACTACAGGCGCCCGCCACCGCGCCCGGCTAATTTTGTATTTTTAGTAGAGACGGGGTTTCACCATGTTAGCCAGGATGGTCTCGATCTCCTGACCTCGTGATCCACCCGCCTCGGCTTCCCAAAGAGCTGGGATTACAGGTGTGAGCCACCGCTCCTGGCCAGAGAGAATGATTTTACTCCCCATATCGCAGGAGATTTACATTCCCCTGCATTATTTTTCGTAATATCCAGGGGGAAGATGAAGATGTTACTCCCCATACAGCATGGGAGAACAATTCCTTGCGATATTGTTCATAATATCTCTGGGGGGAAAGAATTATATTTCTCCTTTTATCGCAGGAAGTTTACACCCCCTTGTGATATTGTTTATAATATCTAGTGGGGGAGAGAATGATGCTACTCCCCATATTGCAGGGGGTGTACAACCCCCTAGAATATTGTTCATAATATCCACGTGGGGAGGACATGATGTTACTACCCATATCGCCAGGGTGTACTGCCCCCTGCCATATTGTTTGTAATATCCAGGCTGGGAAAGGATGATATTACTCCCTGTATCACAGGGGATGTACACACCCCTGTGATATTATTAGTAATATCCATGGGGGAGATAATACTACTTCCAATACCATAAACACCCTGTGTGTACACCCTCTGTGATATTGTTTGTAATATCCAGGGTGGGAGAGGAGTATATTACTCCCTATAAGGCAGAGTGTGTATACACCCCTCTGTGATATTGTTCATAATATCCACTGGGGGATATGAGATTACTCCCAATATCGTAAACACCTCACATGTACACCGTCTGTGATATTATTTGTAATATCCAGTGGGGGAGAGGATGATATTACTTTCCACATCGCAGGGGGTTTACACCCCTCTGTGATACAGTTTGTAATATCTAGAGGGGGAGAGGGTTATATTACTCCTCATATCTCAGGACATGTACACCCCCCTGTGATATTGTTTGTAATATTGTTCCCAATATCATTTTCCCCCATGGATATAGGAACAGTATCACATACGACGTGTACACCCCCTGCCATATTGGAAGTAGTAGTGTTTTCTCCCTTGCTGGACATTAGGAACAATACCATGGGGGGGTGCACACCCCCTGCGATATTGACAGTAATGTAATCCACTATCCCTAAATATAGGAACAATATCACAATGAAGATGTACACACTTGGCGATATTGAAAGTGATATGATCCTCTCCCCACCTGGATATTAGGAACAATATCACAGAAGGGGTGTACACCCCTTGCGATATTGACAGTAATATCCTCTCCCACCCCTGGATATTAGGAGCAATATCACAGAAGTGTTGTACACTCCCTGCGATATTGACAGTAATATCCTCTCCCCCCCGGATATTAGGAACAATATCACAGAAGAGGTGTACACCCACTGTGATATTGACAGTAATTTCCTCTCCCCCCCCCCCCGAATATTAAGAACAATACCACAGGGGGTGTACACCCCCTGCGATATTGACAGTAATATCATCCTCTCCCCCCCCAGATATTAGTAACAATATCACTGAAGGGGCCTACACCCCCTGTGATAGTGACAGTAATATCCTCCCCACCCCCAGATATTAGGAACAATACCACGGGAGGATGTACACCCCCTGTGACATTGACAGTAATATCAACCTCTCCCCCCACCCCGGATATTAGGAAGAATACCACGGGGGGTGCACACCCCCTGTGATATTGGGAGTAATATCACCCACTATCCCCTAAATATTAGGAACAATATCACAAGGCGGGGAGTACACCCTCTGCGATATTGGGAGTAATGTCATCCTTTCCCTGCCCCTGCATGCTAGGAATAATATCACAGGGGATGTACACCCCCATATGCTATTGGGAGTAACATCACTCTTTCTTCCCATGGATATTAGAAACAATATCACAGAAGTGGTGTACACATGCTGCACTGTATAGAATAAAGCAGGCGGAGGAAGATGGGATAACCTTGCTAGCTGAAGCTTCTGTCTCTCTTTTTTTCTTCTTCCCGTGCAGGACACTTGCTTCCCTTCTTCCTGCCCTCGGACATGAGACTCCAGGTTCTTATGCCTTTGGACTCTGGGACTTGCACCAGCAGCTTCCCCGAGGCTCTCAGGCCCTCGGCCTCATACTGAAGACTGCACTGCGGGCTTTCCTGGTTTTGAGGCTTTTGGACTTGGACTGAGCCACTACTAGCTTCTCTCTTTCCCTACCTGGCAGACAGCCTATTGTGGGACTGCCTTCTAACCGTGTGAACCAATTCTCTCTGGTAAACTCCCTTATACATATACATGCATCTTGTTGGTTCTGTCCCTCTGGAGAACCCTGACTCATACATTTTGTTTATTTTTTCTCCATTGCCCTTTCCTCTGCTTCTAGGCTTACCTAGACCACCACCATTCTTTCCCCCTTTCTAAAGTAAAAGTTGTTTTTTTCTCACTAAATGCATGGTATTCTGCCCATTTTCCATGGCTTCCCTCAGCCCTGCTCTGTTTATTCTTGCTATCTTAAGAGGAAATCCCTGCCTCTTCCGTGGCTTTTCCCACTTGGTCTACACACTGGTTTCTGTTGTTCTCAGAGACACACTGAGACTTTTCACATCTCACTGTCACTTCTTGGAAGGGCTCTCTACCTCGTCTGCCTGCTGAGCAACCTCTTGGGGAGACACGGGCCCTCTTGAGTCACTGAACTTGAGCTATTTGGTGTTGGTATGTTAATTTATCTTCTTAGACCACTTACCACTTCTTTAACTTCAAAAGAGAAGAATAAGTATTATTTTCCATGGTTGATATGAAGAGTAGAAATAACTTATACAAAATGCATTGCAGTTAAGTGATAATAAATGGCCGTGAATGCCCTTATTAATGTTATTCTATCAGTCTCGGCTCAGATACCATCTGCTCTGTAAGTTCTGCTCTGAATCATATCTGCTTCTTCTCTGGGTTCCTTGTGCTCTGTTCTTAACTACTTTAAAGCAGTAATTGTTCTGATTCTAATTAGTGATCCTTCCCAATAAAATTTTAATTTTGTAGATCTCTTCCCCCCACCCCTGCCCCAGCCTAACCAGTGTTTTCTTACTTTTTTGTGTACAGGCTACATCACTGGTCTTTTATTTGTGGCTAAATAAATGTTGTGTTAGAAGAGTAAAGAGTTCCCAGTTACATGGGATCTATAGTTCTACAAAATGAATGTATACGTAATCCATGTAAACATTTCACTTATTTTAAAACAATTTTTTAATTTTTAAATTAAATTTAATTTGTGCATGTGTGTGAGACCAGAGTGAGACCAGAGATGGCGGCGGTGAGGGGCGGTGGTCTCACCATGTTGCCCAGGCTGGTCTTGAACTCCCCTTCAAGTGCCCCCCTCCTCACCTGGCCCCCCTCACCTTGCCTCCTCCCCCTCACTCCTATGCCAGCCCCTGCCATTCCCTATCCCCTCTGTTGACCGCAAGACTCAACAAGTGACTTGCTGAGCAAGCCCTGCTGAGAAGAGGTCTGTTTAGGGACACAGGAGGCCAAGTACACAAAAAAGCAAAAGAACTAGCATGCCTTTTTCATTGGATGTCTATTTTACAGGGCTGGCTTCATATTATTGTTATAGCTTTAAATAAAAGGACCGTTTTGTCATCTCGGCCCGTGGCCTACATTATTTCTCTACTGTCCATTGCCCTGGGCGCTTGACTAATAATTTAACAGCAATTTTTTTTTTAAATTTTAAATCATGATTCATTGCATTGCTGTAAGAGTAATTAGAGGTAAATTAGGGCTTGAAACTGCCTGTAGTGGGTTACTTTCTGAGATCTTAGCATAATTATCAGGTGAGAGGGTGAAGTTTTAATTAGCGCTAAGTGGGATAGAAATTCAATGCACTGAAACTGCAGTGTCCAATTCAGTAGGCGCTAGCCACCTGTAACTGTTGAGCACTTGAAATCCTGGCTAGTCCTAATTGAGATATGTTGTGTTAAATATACTGGATTTTGTCATTGGAGTGGGAAGAACAGCGAAGAATATCTGCTTGATATTTTTTTATATTGATTACATGTTAAAATTATTACTATGATTACTATTTGGGACATACTGAGTTAAGTATATTTAAAATTAATTTCACCTTTTAATGGGGCTTACTAGTACATTTAAAATTACATATATGGCTCACATATTTATTGGACAGCACGGCTCTAGAAGCTTAGGAAGAAATAAGAAAAATATTGAGAATAGGTAGCAACAGTAGGAAGTTTGAACTCCTGTAAGACTGATTCCAATAAAACTAATAGGTGATAGTTTTAATTGGCTTTTTCCTACTAGAAAAAGTAAGTGTACTTTACATGTCTCTTTGTTCTCCCTCTTTCCCCTTCAATTCAGTGGTTAGCGTGTATTTACTATATCAGGCTGAATATTCACTAAGCAGTGTTAAGAAGACTTAGGTAAATGATTCCCTGATGAACACACTTGATTTTCAAAGCACTTTCCTAACCCATTTTTAATTGGAATAGAGTCAAAGGTAGATGGCTTATTAGTAGTCATCTCTTTTAAACCTCATGGAATTTTCCCGTTAAATCTCAAAGTAAACAATTTGTTATAGGCTGTTTTGTCAAGTGCATGGAAGGGACAGCATAAGACATGTGGTACTTCATTTCAAAATTACTTGAGATGGTTTTCATTATAATCATACATTATTTGCTTCTGGTTTTCCGGAAAAGCCAGCTAAACCTGTGGTTCATTTAGATATAAATGAAATATCCTCAAAGGATTGCTCAAAGTGACTTATGCAACTTGAATATATATTTTTTTCTGTAGGGTGTTTATTCCAAATTATCTGGCCATTTGTGGCAATTTGCAGTTTTTTAGAAAACACCAAATATTTTTCAAGTTAGAGATGTTTTAATAAAAACAGTCATATTGAACTAGAAGCAGCCAAATAAAATGGCCCTTTATTTCACAGTTGAGAATTTGAAATTGGAAGGTAATTAACATATGTAAGGATGATGTATTTGCTGCCTGGCTTATAGGAATGAGCCAAGGTGTTTTTTGAGGGATGTTGTTGCTGTGTATGTCCCACCTATTTTGCTTCCTTAATGAACAATGCAAGTTTGAGACAGAAATATTTGAGAACATTTTTATCAGTTGCGACATTTTGATAGTGAACATTTTATATCTTCTGTCAACTTAAAATGTTTGCATCTTCTGTCTGCTTAAAATGTTTAATTTGTTATAGCCAAATAATTTGGCTATAATTGATAATTTAATTTATCAAATTAAATTGCTTTTTTTCCCTTTAGACTTTCTTCAGTCACATCTGAATAAATCCCTTAGAGGTAAGCTAGATGTAATATAATGAAATGCTTAAAAGGGCTGTGTATCTTCATATTACACTTACAGTGATTTTCTGTTGTACCCATTATATTCTACCTGCAGCTAGTTGAGGTAAAGAGAGGGCATTTAACTGTCAAGGGAACCTGTGAGGAGACTGTAGAAATCTGGAAAGTCTCTTGGGTCTTTGAGGGATTTTGGGATGCAGAGAGTGGGGCTGGGATCTCTGGCTAGGTTGGAGCCAGCCTGCATTTGTATCTTTATCTTGTAAGCAAACTTAGAATGCAGAGATAGATGTGGCCTGGATGCTGCTAACTTTAGCCAACCACTAAATCTTAAGGTGGGAGAGATGCAGGCTTTGGCTGGGTGCTAAGCTGCTGTAGCTGGTTGAATGTAGAGGTCACTATCTTTTCTGAATACTTGTAAGTAAATTAAATCATTCTCTACCCCTGTATGCCTGCCAACCAAATGGGAAATCGCTATAGAAAAGATGGTTTAAATTTTAGTCTTTGAAGTGGTTAATGCACGTTTCTGGAATCAAGATTTAATGTGGACTTGGATTGGATATTGAATGTTTTTGATTTGTCTACTTTTCTCTCCATAGGGAGCTTATAGCTTCATTGCACTGTGTGTGGCATTTGGGTCCTGTTTGGCAGCAATGACTGCCTTTCTGTTTAGTGTCTGTGTGCTATGAAGATTGCACACAGGGGTCCAGATGCATCCTGTTTTGAGAATGTTAATGGATACACCAGCTGCTGCTTTAGATTTCACCCATTGGCGGTTTCTATAAAAACTTTAGACACAGTGAGCCACTCTTCTCAGGGAATGGTGGAAACCCTCCCAATTCCAATTTCCTAAACACCAGCCAAGGGCCAGCCTTGCATGCAGGCCTTTCTAAGGATGGCAGTCTCTTGCCTGTTATATGAAATCTTTTCTGCACACTTTGTATAGCCCCAACTTAATTTTTGGTGTTGTTTTAAAATTTCATTTTAATAACATATTATAAGATAAGGTAACTTGGTACTAATTTCTGTTGTATGATCCATCTTAAGTTGCAGCGCTGGTTACTTTTTTGACTTTCGGTGACGAACAGCTATTTGTACATAAGTTACCATAGCAATGTTAGGTAATTATAATCTGTCCTATTTATCTCATTTACCTTTCAGTAAAATTGTTAAATAAGCAAAATAATTTCTGAGTTAAAATTAGAATAAAAATTGTCTTTTATTTGGATTACATGAATAATCTAGTTTTCATATTGTGCTAAAGCCCTGCTTAGAATTATGAAATAAGATAAAATATTCAATCATTTTTATCAATATTTTCTTACCTAAGCATGCAATTAAATTTACTTATTTTATATATTTTATATACTTCAATTTGAGAAATAATGACCACATGTTGTTACTTTGGTCTTCAATGATCTCTAATTTTTAGGGTCACCGTGTCTTGCTTAAATATATCATAGTAACAGGTTCAGTGAATATCTTTATTTTTAATTTTATTTACTTATTTTTTTTTGAGACAGAGTTTTGCTCTTGTTGACCAGGCTGCAGTGCAATGACACAATCTTGGATCACTGCAACCTCCACCTCCCAGGTTCAAATGATTCTCCTGCCTCAGCCTCCCAGGTACCTGGAACTACAGGCATGCACCATCATGCCCGGCTAATTTTTTATATTCAGTAGAGATGAGGTTTTACCATGTTAGTCAGACTGGTCTCGAACTCCTGACCTCAGGTGATCCACCCACCTCAGCCTCTCAAAGTGCTGGGATTACAGACATGAGCCACTGCCCCCAGCCATCTTTTTTATTTATTTATTTTAATTGTTGTTCTGGAGATCCTGGGATGCATAGACAGTGAATATCTTTTTTGTTTTTTGAGACAGAATCTCACTCTGTCTCCCAGGCTGCAGTGCAGTGGTGCGATCTTGGTTAACTGCAACCTCTGCTTTCTAGGCTCAAGCGATTCTCCTGCCTCAGCCTCCCGGGTAGCTGAAATTACAGGTGCCAGCTACCATGCCCAGCTAATTTTTGTATTTTTATTAGAGATGAGGTTTTGCCATGTTGACCAGGCTGGTCTTGAACTCCTGACCTCAGGTGATCCACCCACCTTTGCCTCCCAAAGTGCTGAGATTACAGGCATGAGCCACTGAGCCCAGCTGAATATTTTTTTAAAATCAATAACCTTGTTTCTTAGAGTAGTTTTAGGTTCACAGCAAAATTGAGAGGAAGGTACAGAGATTTCTCATATATCCCATGCCTCCCACACACGCATAGCCTCCCCCATTATTAGTATTTTCCACCAGAGAGTGTTCCATTTGTTACAACTGATGAACTTACATTGACACATTATAATCACTTGAAGTTCATAGTTTACATCAGGCCTCACTCTTGATGCTGTACATTCTGTGAATTTGGACAAATGTATAATGACATGACATGTATCTATTACTGTAATATTATCGACAGAACAGTTTCACCGCCCTAAAAATTCTCTGTGCTATGCCTGTTCATCTCTCCCTTTCTCCCTAGCAACTCGTGACAACCATTGATGTTTACTCTGTCTTCATAGTTTTACTTTTTTCAGAAGAGTCATATAGTTGGAATAAGAAGAGTGGATATCTTTTTGAGTAGTTAAAAAATTAAAGCTCCATGGCAGTTGAATGTAGTCATTTAAGATGTTCTTTGTCCTTTTGTTTTTCTTTTGCTTCTTTATCATTGTAAAGAATGATGTATTCTGATGAGATATGATTTACATACTTAGAAAACATGATTTGTATAGATATGTGGCACATAATAGAAAGGGTTGAGGAAAAGGACACCACTCCGTACTACACAGCACAACCTGGAGCATCTTGCTCTGTGAGGTGGGTCCAGATAGACTCTTTAGCAATGGAAGAGGACAAGTGCAAAGGGTTGTGATTTATAAAACTGGAATCACAAAGTCTTTCATACTTACCTTCGGTTGGAAATAAGACCAGGCAGTGAATGCTATTAGGTAAATACATAAGTTCCTCACTGATCCTCTTCCTTTGAGGGATGAGGTTGACAACAGCCTGTATTATGATGACATGACTCACCTACAACTAGATTCTGTCATGAGAGATGACAAGGGAGTTTTGCTTTATGCGAGGTGAAAAAATTTTTTTCTCCTACTAGGGAGATGGGCAAGCATTAGAACATTCTGGTAGTAAAAGGGCATTGATAGTTTTCTTTCTATATATTTTTTCACATCAGATAATATTGCCCGACAGCCTGCCATACCTCCCCAGTGTTTATTCAGCTTCTCTCTGAATGTGGATAAGCTCTTAAAGGAGTGATCTTTCCAGTGGTTCTTTCTGTGGGAGGTAAAATGGCAGGTGAATTTGGGGCTTGTTATACGTAGGCCAGAGCAAATAGCTACAACTAAGGAAACCACCCAGCACCTTACCCAGAAGAGTATTAGCCAGAGTAACACACTGATCTCTCTTGAGATCTTCTCCACTGGTGGCTGGAAAGTATTTGCAAGGATTCCTGTTTCTGGTCTGATTCCTATGTTTTGTTGGTTTCTGGCGATAGCATGTTTTATTCTAAACTAAACAGTTTGAACTGAAGAGCTAGAGAGGCTGTGTGGTGTTATAACAAAATAAGTGCAGTAACTACAACTTAACTGTGGGAGATACATTTCAAGACCCCCAGTGCATGCATGAAACCATGAATATTACTGAATCACAAGCTGTTTTTCCCTATACATACATATCTATGACAAAGTTTAATTTATAAATTAAATTAAATCTGATGTTATCTGTAGATAGGGTGTGAGAATTGAATTGTGTCATCAGCAGGAATGATTGCTTGTTTGTTGGTGGGGAAAAACTCTCCACACATTTGGTTACAGAAGCCTTCTTTGTTGATGATTGTTGCTGTGGTGTGACAGCAGAGAAAAACGTGTCAAGTATGTCTTTCTGCGCATATAGTGGATAAGGGGTACTAGTGTATACTCTGTTGTAATGGCCCCTCATATTTTGGTCCAGAAATCATGCTCTTTGACACTGTTGACTCATCACACCTGTTCTGCTAACAATACCATTTTTACTCAATCTCATAGGCTTTGGCTAGGATGACTTGTATACTTCAGTTCACTTGTAGATACCAAATTTTAATAAATTTATTCTTCTTTGCATCTAATAAATACAGAGGGAAGAGTTCTTACTGCATTAATTACCTACCAATACTTATAATGAATGTTAATTCTAATAAGTTCCCAGGCATGCTCCCAAAGGAATGCTTTGTAACAAAACGTCAGTCTTATGCTTTAAAAAACCAAACCAAACCAAAACAACAACAACAAAAAACAGGATCTAAAGCATACACACAAGTGTGCACAATTTTTTTACGAAGGTAGAGTCTTACTATGTTTCCCAAGCTGGTCTCAAACTTCTGGGCTCCTCAAGTGATCCTCCTGCCTCATCCTCCCAAGTAGTTTGGATTAGAGGCATGCATCACTGTGCATTCTTATGATTTTAATATTCTGTACATTTATTATTGATTTAAAATACATTTTACCTTTTTCTTTAATAGATGTTGGAATTTCTGATGAATCTGCAGTCAGGTAAGATTTCATAGATTTAAAAAATTATGTTAACTAAGAAAATATAGATGGAAGAAACTAATATCTGTTGAGTGTTGTATTCTGGGCTAGACATCCTAATATGTTCTATGCATTTATCATCTCATAAAGCCATCATAACATCTGTGTTCCTATAACCTACTGTTAAATAAACAACTATGGATTAGAGCTGATTAATTGCCTCATGATCCCATAGTTAACAAAGTAGCTGGCCTACAGTTTGACCATCAGCCTGTCTGCCTTCCAAATCCTTTCTCTTGCTCCTCAGCATAGATTGATAGATATCTGTGCAGCCCTTGGATCAAAGTATAGGTCTGAATCAGATCAATCAGATTCATTAATTTGATTAACTTCTAAATTAATGAGAGTTTAAATACCTTGAACTCTCATTTAAGTTTATTGTTAGAATGTGGTTAGTCCTAATAAATTTGACGATTTCAGTGGTAACCAGTATCTTATTTTTACCTTCAAAGGCTCTAGGGCAGATCTGACTTAGCTTTGGCCATAGGACTGTAAGTTTTACCAAAGCAAGTTTAGGCAAGTCTTAGAGACAAATTATTTGACTTCCCAGTTTGGTTTTCCATTTAGGCAAGTATTTCTGCTTACTTCCATAATACATTTTTTAGTCTTGTTGCTTTTTCCATGACTTTTATATAATCTTGTCTTCATTTTTTAAAACTTTCTTCTCTGTTTTTCTTGGTGTTTCTTTTGTTCTATTATTTTTTCAAACTCTGCTGCCCATGTATTCCAAGTTTTTCTATAGACAGAATCAAGAGGACATAGAATTACAGAATTTTAAGGAATCTTGGAATGAATTAAAATACCTTCTAGTATTTTTCTCTGCGTTGAACATTCTGGTCAAGTGATTCTCTAGATAGAGAATGTGAGGCTCAAAGAGATTACGAAGCTTTTTTTTAGACATAGGAATTGGCAGAAATGAGATTTGAACTCATGGTAAAGCCCAGTACTCTTGCTTCTTTTTATGTCCTATTGGCGTGTGTTTTCATAATACAAACGGGAGTGAGTCTGTGGATAGAATGAGAATGGAATTAGCTGGTGAACCCAATGGAAGTAGATAAGAATGGAATGAGCAGGGGCAGTCCAAGTTTGAAGATAAACAACACTGGATTGGATAGGAGTACGGACTCTTCTACAAGAGATCAAAGTATTGGGGTTTATGACAAGTTTGATAAAGATAAATTATAAAAATGAAGGACACAAGATGTTGGGAATTATCTACAAAGGCACATTAAAATAGAAGGTTCAAGGGAGCTCTAAAAATTTTGCTGCTTTTTTTTTTTTAAATCAAGGACTGACAAACTTGAAGATTTTTACTGAAAGATGCCAAAACATATTGAGACACTGGGAAGAATGTCTACAGCAGATAGAAATGTGGTGTCATCTACTTCCATCCTGACTTACAAAGGGGTGGCTTAGAGCCCCTGGAGTACTAAGGGGCTGGAAATTGCTGAACTACATAGATGTGTGGCACAGGGCAGGTGTCTCCTCACCTCTGCCTCTTTTCACAGTTCACTGATGTCCTTCCCATGTCCATGTGGGCTGGGTCAGGGGCATGATTAGCTGGCAAATCAGTCATGGAGTTCAGTTGGGTAGTTGGTAGTGTGTATAGCTGGTGGCAGGTGATGGAGACTCCAGTTAGCTTGTTTTTCAGGAGCAGGGATATAGAGAGCTCCTACTCCTGGTCATTTGAGGCCATTCTTTCAGGAATCTGTGCTTTCATACACTGAAGATTTGAAGACTGGAGACTTCTGTGGAACCCTGCAGAAGTAGAATCTGGAAGTGGGTGTCCATAGGAAGAAATATACTTAGATAGTACTTAGGGAAATAGAGGTACAACTATCATGACTCTGTTTCTTTTCTGGCAGTCTCTCTCCTTGGGTGTCTGAGTGCCTATGAAAATTTTTAAGGGCTTGCTAGTTTATGTGGACCTGAATAAGGTAGGACCTATAGAGTGAAAATAATGGGATTTTATAATTGTTAATATTTTAATCTTTCTGGGAAAAGTATTCTCAATAAGAACATACATCTTTGCTATTTGACTTCTGTACATTTAGCTTTCATACATTTCAAATATTGTGGGGGCTTTCCTGTACCAATTTAGGGTAAAGGAAATCAATAGGACCTTCCTAAGTTGGATCCATGCTGAGGAATCAAGACTACCATTTTGAAGTGATGTAGATTAGTGTTTTATCCAGAGACAGATCATGGAAAAGAGACAGTGGATCTTTCTACCTTGTTTTAGGTCATCAGTTTTATTCCAGTTTAGGGAACAAAATTTATGTCATCCATTAATTGAATTTTAAGTTCAGCTTCAGGACAGATAATTTGTGAGGGCACATTATTGTCAGGCTCTGCCAATATATTGACTGTCACTATTTGTTATAAACCTCAAGGTTAGCTTTCATTGAATATTTTATAGATTTAGACAGGTGGAGGCAGAAATAGGTAACTAAAATCTCTTTTTAGAACAGAGGACATATTTTAATTATATCAAGAATCATAATTTAATATATAGATCACTGACCTTTCCCCAGATTATGTTTTCCTTTTTTTGAGGGGGAAGCTGGATATAAACTGGCAATTAAAAAAATTGTAAAGAAATCAACTTGCTCATTTTCATTGTGTATTTTTGCTCTCAAGCATTTTGCATGAACTGTGTGTGGATTCATTGCCTACATTGGATGATGAAGACTTGAGTGTTGCTACTAAGGTAAAGTGGTCTCTTGTAAAATTAATCTTCTCACTCTGAGTGTAGTTTTGCATAGTATTTACTTTTCAAATTTAGCAGTGGTTTACCTATCATTGTTTTATGGTGGTAATGGAAAGCTGGTCAGAGAAAAACATACACATGGCTAGTTGATTCAAAAAATGTGTTAAACTTTGGTAACTAATAAAGATTGGTAAGTACTGTGACAGGGTGGGAGCTGAAAAAAAATGAACTGGAAAATAAGTAGTCACGGGAAAATCACATTAGGAAATGCTTTCTCCAATAGAGGAAATATGAAATTTGGTTAAAGTTTATTTGGATAAATACTAATACTTTGACTTTTAAATCATACGAGTGTGACTTTCTTAATATTTATTCCTGTATAAACCTTCAGTGGATCAAATTGTTTGCAGTAATCATGGAATCCTCCTGGTAATTTTTAGTGGCAGAAATGTTCAGCACATAACATATAGCTTTTGTTCTTGGAAACTTATCATTTTGGTGTCATATAGTTTTTAGGAGAGATTGTTTCTCTACTTATATTATTGGTTCTGTAGTGAGACTAAAAAAGTATTAAAAGTTGTAGAAAAATAGCTGAGTTTGGTGGTGTACACCTGTAGTCCCTGCTACTTGGGAGTTTGAGACAGTAAGATTGCTTGAACACAGGAGTTTGAGAACAGCCTGGGTAACATTGTATCTGATTTAAAAATATAAATTGTGGAAATGTAGAAATTTAAATTTATGTTCTCAAGATTTGTATTGCAAAGGGATTTTTATGTGATTTATGAGTTGTCCATGAAGAGTTTATATAAAACACTTCATCTAATTGAATAACATGTATTTTCCTGCAAATAACCAGTTCTAGAAGCAGAGACTCTTAATACCAATATGGTAAGTCTTTATCATCATAATTTTGTCATTGTAGTTTATTTAAAATATTTACTTGGCCAGGCGTGGTGGCTCACACCTGTAATCCCAGCACTTTTGGAGGCCGAGGTGGGTAGCTCCCCTGAGGTCAGGAGTTCAAGATCAGCCTGGCCAACATGGTGAAACCCTGTCTCTTAAAAAAAAAAAAAAAAAGCACAAAAATTATCCAGGCATGATAGTGCATGCCTGTAATCCCAGTTGCTCAGGAGGCTAAGGCAGGAGAATCGCTTGAACCCAGGAGGCAAAGATTGCAGTGAGCCAAAATCGCACCATTGCACTGTAGGCTGGATGACAGAGCAAGACTACATCTTAAAAAATAAAATAAAATAAAATAACCACTCAAAGTCCTTATATCATATTCTGAAAGTTTGAATGTCAGAAGGTTTTCTATTTAGTTTTTTAAATGATCATTGGAAGCTCCTGCATACCATAAGCTACTGGAGGTCAGTAAACATATTTGTGTGTATCCTGGAGTACCTAGAATACAGTCTTCCATGTAAGAAGCATTTTACTTGTTGTTTTTTGAGATGGGGTTTCACTCTGTCACCCAGGCTGGAGGGCACTGGTGAGATCTTGGCTCACTCCGATCTCCATTTCCTAGGCTCAGGTGATCCTCACACCTCAGCCATCCAAGTAGTTGAAACAATAGAGCTATGTCACCATAGACCTGTGTCACCATGCTGGGCTGAGTTTTGTAGAGATAGGGTTTTGCCTTGTTGCCCAGGCTCTTCTTTAACTGTTGGGCTCAAGTGTTCTGCTCGCCTCAGCCTCTCAAAGTGCTGGGGTTACAGACATGAGACATTCAGCCTTAATAGTTGTTTAATCTGAATAAATAAACAAATGAATTTTTATATAATGGAATGTTATAAGTAATATAATAAACCTAATGTATCTAATCATTAAATATTGTATTTAAAATATTGCTTACATTGTATTATTTTTTAATATTTAACGGTGTATAAGTTTTGACATGTTATGTTGAGAAATTATGCCATAATTAAAAAGGAAGTAAAATAGAAATAGGCCATCGGTAGCAAAGAGGGTTACAATATATTTTCTAGTATCATTCAACTGGAATCTTAACACTGAGATTTTAGATTAATATTTCTTAAGCTTTTTATTAAACCCAACTCATATTCCATTAAATACACCGTTTCAAGCCATACATTACTCTTTATTATTATTATTATACTTTAAGTTCTAGGGTACATGTGCACAACGTGCAGGTTTGTTAAATATGTATACATGTGCCATGTTGGTGTGCTGCACCCATTAACTCGTCATTTATACTAGGTATATCTCTTAATGCTATTCCTCCCCTCTCCCCCCACCCCATGACAGGCCATGGTGTGTGATGTTCCCCATCCTGTGTCCAAGTGTTCTCATTTTTCTGTTCCCACCTATGAGTGAGAACATGTGGTGTTTGGTTTTCTGTCCTTGCAACAGTTTGCTCAGAATGATGGTTTCCAGCTTCATCCACGTCTCTACAAAGGACATGAACTCATCATTTTTTATGCTGCATAGTATTCCATGGTGTGTAAGTGCCACATTTTCTTAATCCAGTCTATCATTGATGGGCATATGGGTTGGTTCCAAGTCTTTACTATTGTGAATAGTGCTGCAATAAACATACATGTGCATGTGTCTTTATAGCAGCATGATTTATAATCCTTTGCATATATATCCAGTAATGGGATGGCTGGATCAAACGGTATTTCTAATTCTTGATCCTTGAGGAATCTCCACACTGTCTTCCACAATGGTTGAACTAGTTTACAGTCCCACCAACAGTGTAAAAGTGTTCCTATTTCTCCACATCCTCTCCAGCACCTGTTGTTTCCTGACTTTTTAATGATTGCCATTCTAACTGGTGTGAAATGATATCTCATAGTGGTTTCGATTTGCATTTCTCTGATGGCCAGTGATGATGAGCATTTTTTCATGTGTCTGCCATACATTACTCTTTAGAATTCTGGTGACCAATTCTTTTTCTGGGTGGAAAGTTGATGGAAAGTTCCAGTTTTCTCTCTCTGTTATAATAATGTTCTTTCAGGTAATGGTAGATGACCATATTTAGTTAATTGAATGTCTTATAGTAAGAAACACTATCACAGAAGTACTTACAAAAAACTAATTGCAGCATAAATATTAATTAGTATTATCAGAGTTATGAAAGACCGAAGGCTCTGTTATAGATCTATTTCCCCATGTACTTTATTGTACTTCATGTTTTTCATTTTCTTTCTTGGCTTAAGCTCATATTTCATTGACTAATTAGGCTTGTTTTTTGTTTGTATCTCTCTTTGTTCTCACATTTTAAATTGAAATTTTTGGGGAGGCAGGATCTTGCTCTGTTGTCCATGCTGCAGTGTAGTGGCATGATCTTGGCTCACTGCTGTATCCACTTCTCAGGCTCAAGTGATCCTCCCACATCAGCTTCCCAAGCAGCTGGGACTACAGGCACACACCATCATGCCTGACTCCTTTTGGTATTTTTTGTGTAGAGATGTGTTCTCATTATGTTGCCCAGGCAGGTCTCCAACTCCTGAACTCAAGCAATCCACCCACCTTGGCCTTGCAAAGGGCTGAGATTACAGGTGTGAGCCACCATGCCTGGGCAACATTGAGATTGATTTAAAGAAATTGATTAGGGCTGGGTGTGGTGGTGCACACTGCTTATCTCAACATTTTGGGAGGCAGAAGTGGAAGATTTGCTTGAGCCCAGGAGCTTGAGACCAGCCTGGGAGGTATAATGAGGCCTTGTCTCTACAAAGATAACAATAAAAACATTAGCATGACATGATGGTATGCACCTGTAGTTCCAGCTATTCAGGAAGTTGAGGTGGGAAGATTGCTTGAGGTCAGGAGTTTGAGACCACAGTGAGCCATAATCAGGCCCCTGCATTCTAGCCCTGGGTTGACAGAGTGAGACCCAGTTTCATAAAAAGAGATTGATAAGAAACTCTTGATGCAACTCATTATAATTTTAAATGGAAACTAATTCTTGATATTACCTTAGCAGTGTGTCCCCGAGAAAGTGTCAGAGCCTTTACGTGGACCTTCTCATGAAAAAGGAAACAGAATAGTCAATGGAAAAGGAAAAGGTGAGAACCGTATTTTATTTAAAAAGTCATTTGATGGAGACCAGGCGCGGTGGCTCACGCCTGTAATTCCAGCACTTTGGGAGCCCGAGGTGGGCGGGTAATGAGGTCAAGAGATCAAGACCATCCTGGCTAACATGGTGAAACCCCATCTCTACTAAAAACACAAAAAATTAGCCGGGCATGGTGGCGGGTGCCTGTAGTCTCAGCAACTCAGGAGGCTGAGGCAGGAGGATGGTGTGAACCTGGGAGGTGGAGCTTGCAGTGAGCGGAGATCGTGCCACTGCACTCCAGCCTGGGTGACAGAGTGAGACTCCATCTCAAAAAAAAAAAAAGGCATTGATGGAATGTTTCTTTTAAAATATGAGCACTAATAGAGTTTAATAGCTAAAGAAAATGTCCTATTAACTGTATCATAAGTAAAAGAGAAATGAAATGTTGATAAGTGGTGTCTCTAACCAAGGGTCAGCAGTTGATTCTATTGGAAGTACCACTAAAGGAGCTGAGTTATGAGTTCCATTTTAACATACTCTAAGACCTGAGGCAAGTCAGGAGAGAGGGAAGAGGAAATGAATAAAAGAGAAAGAAAGAATGAGGAGGGCAGAGTGTACATGGAATAAATAAAAAAAAGTGGATGTATGTAATGGAGGGTAGTAAAGTCAAATTGATCTGTAGAAGAAGGAAGAACAGGGTGTTAGAAATAGGAAGGAAGATAAAGTGAGCTTCCAGTACCAAAATGTGTCATATAATTACAGTAACATTTTCCTTCTCTTGCTGTCATTCTCGCTACTGGGGAGGCATTAAGGATTGAGGTACTTTACCATGCAGACCTGTGTTTTATCTACCATAGATGAACATCACCATAAATGGTCAGCCATGTATGACTGTAATTTGTTTTCATAGAAAATGTTGTAACTTCATAGGATAGTATCATATTAACATAATTGAAAAGAATAGTGTTGGGTGATTTATTGGGAAGAAATTAATTAGAGAAGCTTTGCCTGATTAAAAGTTCATTAGAAACATTATGGCTTATAACGTAGTATTAAATTCAGGGACATAATAGGAAAGAAGTTGAGGCTAGGCCAAAAAGGCCAATTAGGGTAAACCAATATGGAAGCACACCAGTGTAGAACAGGGCATTCAAATTGTCATGAATTCGTTGAGGAGCTTCTGGAAAGTGCACATTCTGACTCAGCAGGTATTGGAGTCTGCATTTCTCATGAGCACTCAGGTGATGTTTGTGCTGGTCCTTGGACACAGCTCTGAATAGCAAGGGAATAGCCTTCCTTTAGAGAAATCTGGAAAAAGAACCACTGGAGAGCAATTTAAAAGATAACAGAATCCAGGGAAAGCTTTAATTTCCTTTTATTTCTGAGCATGATTCTAGCCACAGGGGAAGGAAAATGAGATGAAAAAAGAGAGATTACAGGTGTATACTACTGCTGAATACAGATGAAAAAAGTGGTCACAATCATCCATAAAAAGCAGTTAGGAAGGGAAACATCAGGATGACAGTTCTGATAATCATTTTTTCAAAGGAAGAGGGATGGTGAAAGGACACAAAAGGAGGAAAGAAAGACATTTGCTGGGGTCTTGGGAGTTAAAGCCAAGTTAACTTGAGACAACTCACTTCCAGTTGCTTCAGCATATGCCCAGTCTCACAAAAGAGGTTATTGCTGTGGAGAGTACTGGAGACAGGAGGGAGTGCTAGAGTTGGGGTAAACCACAGCAGCTCATTTCACTTGATATCTGTCAGGCCTCAGGGGGAGAAGTTTCACTGACATGAGTGAATAAGATATGATTAAGTTGCATATAGATGCTTTGGCGAAATTTTTTTGAGACAGCCAGTTCTTTGATATGATAGCTGTTTTATAAAAGTCCTTTACAGTGTAAGATAATATACCAAACTTAGTTAATTTTAGAAGTAATCATAAAATTCATTCCATGAAAACCAAAATTATCATTTTCATAAATACTGCACTGATTTTGAAATATAAATATGTATTAATATCCAGCAAGTCTGTGGTCATTTAATGTTTTCTTTTTTGATAAATATTTTCATATCAGAAGCTTATTCGACATGGTTTATTTGATGTGTTTTATGGACCATCTTGCATGAGTGGATCAAGGAGCTCTAATTCAAGGCCAAATGAGGGGATAGGAGAAATGTAGGTGCTGCAGTAGCCCATGTGATCATGGGAAAAATGAGTAGTTTGATTAGCTGTTATTTCATAAGTGTGTATCCTAGCTGATCAATGTAGAACCCTTTCTTTGATGAGAGGTGAATCACACATTCACCTGAACTGTCATCCCAACTGCGTATTTCCTCAGTGACAAGACAAGGGGAATTTATTTGTGCTGTGCTGCCAGCAATGCCTCTGGTGTGTGGAGTTAAAATACTCTGTACATTCACCATCAGCTTTGACATTGATTCTCTCAGGTTTGATTTGCCCCTCTGTTTAATGGTCCCTTTTCTCCTCATCAGTCCACATGTTCACGGTTATATCAATGCTTTTCTATTTTAAGTATAGGCATTTGAAACATAATCTCACTACTGAAATGTAAACTGTGCATTTTGTGAATCCTATATTCTTATTTTCCTCATTGTGTTTCTGTCATGTTGCTGTCCTAGGCAATGAAAAGAAGAAGCCAAGAAGAACCCTCAAAACCTTAAGTAATTATTTTTATAGCCAGGCCTGAGAATTCAGCTCGACAGTAACACTGCATGAATGTTTGGTTGGCCTTGTCATACTTACATATAATTGATGACATATCCCCTTTGCTTTGTAGGGCCTCCTGCAAAACATCCTTCCTTGAAGGTAATTAATTATGTATATTTTTGAATCACTAACTCCATGTTGTATAAAATATATATGATTTATGAATCGTTATCTTTTAAAACCCATTCAGCCTAGCACTGAAGTGGAAGATCCTGCTGTGAAAGGAGCAGTACAAAGAAAGAATGTACAGACATTGAGAGCAGGTACATTTAATGGAATACTGGAAATAAAGTACATTCAATGATTGGATGTACTCATATTATTCTTATTCCTAATTCTATTTGTTCAATATTGAACAGAAGGTATTGACATAAATGTTATTGTTGGTATCCATATTTGAATAAAAACAAATTTAGAAGCATAAAAAAGATTTTAAAAATGTAAGCTTTAAGTCAGATGTTTCTGTTTTAATGTTTTGAATAGCATGAAGTTTTCAGTATAAAATTTTTATACTTGTCAGGGATTCAAAGCAGTGAATTTTGAGACTCTTAAGATATTTCCAGTGAGTTAAGTGCTAGTTGGAGTTCTGATCTTTACCTAGAGGAAAGCTTTACTTATTAAAGTGTCAGTTTCTGTTTTAACTTCAGAGGCTTGCTGCTAGTGTTATTACACTGATGATCTGAAGCCTATCAGATGTTCTAATGAGCAAGACTGTGTGTGTAGGTGTATATATAGATGTGTGTATGCGTGCGCTTGTGGCATCTTTGACTATTACAAATGACGAAAGTAATGATTCATTTATGACTGGTAGACACAGTCTTTTAAAATGGTGATTTTGAGCATTTTTGGTGTTAAAGTTTTTAAAACATGATTGCATAGAGGCTACCAACATCATAAGTTGGTTGTTTTTCATTTCAATGCCCTTTTGAAATCTTTAACTACATTGTGATGCTCAGAAATAATATGCAGAATTTTTTGTGTCCTAAAATGGTATGTGAGTGGTTATACACTTTATATACCTTTCTGCCACTTTCTTTGGTGTGTTTTGTATTATATTTTCCAGTTGTACCCACATTGGTGTGATTATCCCTGGTTTAATTCATTTTACACTGTTCATTGTATTCCCTCATACCACTTTACCACATTTAGTTAGACTCTCCTGTTGCTGATAAATGAAGAAATAAAAAGAAAAATAATGTCAGATTAAGAGGGCTTTTCTTTAATCGGTTTGTATCTATTAGCATTTACTATATGAGAGTTTAAACCTGAAAAGTTCAGAATACAAGCATACACCACCATATTTTATTAATACCCTTAGAACTCATGAGCCTTTAGCCTATGAAGTTAGCACAATTCATTTCTCTGAAGAAGAATGCTGGGCTGTTCTCAGAAAAGAAAACTGAAAATAGCAAATGATATTGTCTTATTTTACCTCTTGGACATCCTTGAATGAAACTGCTACTAAAGGGATACTCGGATCAAAATTCAGATCTAATGTTTTGAACAATATAGTTTGTGAATGTCCAGTGATCATGAGCCCTTGATGGGGAAATGACCTTTCGAGTTTCACTTTTGCATTCTCTTTTCGTTGACTTGTCTTGAAAGCTTAAATTCAACTATTTTATTTTTACAGAAACCAGGAATATAACTTTTAAAATATATGTCTGTCCTGTCTCACGGTGTTGTGTACTCTTCAGATCTTGTATGAACATAGACTTATATGGGAAAAATTAGGTTGTTTGTTTATTTGTGTTTTTGAGACAGAGTCTTGCTCTGTCACCAAGGCTGGAGTGCAGTGGCTCAGTCTTGGCTCATTACCACCTCTGTCTCTCGGGTTCAAGCAATTCTCCTGCCTCAGCCCCTCGAGTAGCTGATACTACATGCACGTGCTACCATACCCTGCTAATTTTTCTATTTTTAGTAGAGATGGGGTTTCACCAGGTTGGCCAGGCTGCTCTTGAACTCCTCACCTCAGGTGATCTGCCCACCTCGGCTTGCCAATGTGCTGGGATTACAGGTGGGAGTCATTGTGCCAGCTACAAATAAGATTTTTAAGGCTATTATATTTTATACAATTCTTTGGTCTATGTGAATTCTGAAGGTATTCATGCATTGAGGGAAGATTATCTCAGTTTAATGAAAGCAGTTTTTAATTTAACGTATATTCATTAAAATTTTTTTTGAAGTTTTTGTCTCTAGTACACAGAAACACACAATAATGTCATGGATATTTGACCTTAATGTGTTTATGCACAAACTTAGTTATTCAAATATTTTCTTATACCTGAAGAATCTTAATTACTAATAAACAAATTTCTCATGGAAAACAACATATATAACAGAGATGGTTGAGTGATTGAAAGTAAACTGTAGTAAATACCAGAAGCTTAGAACAAGTTAAGTAAACTTGTCTGAGTTAATAGCAATTACAAGACTTTTAAAATACATTAGACCAAGGGGGAGTAGTGCATTTGTGGGGTAGAGGACAACCCCACACTGCTTCAGTGAAGAAAGAACTTTTACACCTTATTACAATTTGTATTATTATTTACATTCTAATAAATAAAAACTTTATTTTCAGATATTTTACATCATGTTTCTACTAGTTGAACCATCAATAGTAAGACTTTTCAAAGATTTGGGAAGTTGTGAGTTGATGATAAATATCTGTATCACAATCAGTGATCAAAAATCAGACAGCAACTACCACAGATTTTGGACACGCGAACTTCATAGTTAAAGAAAGGATTAATCTTGGAGCTGTGTTTCTATCAAGGAATTACACTCTTCTTTACCTGTGTGAATCGCAGTTATTAGAGTAGCAAGAGAGCAAAGAAGGGAAAGAAGCATAGAAAATTTTATTCTAGATTACCTCGTTTGGCTTCATGCTACCATAGTTCTGACTTTTAAAAAGTCATTTTGTGGTCAAATGTACTTTGTGTTTACTCCTCTTATGCAGCCTACAACCAAACAGAATGGTTCTTAGCAAGGCATTTGTATTCTTCCCTTAAGGAAAGCAACATATAAATAACAAAGAGAATGAGAAGAAAGAGTGATTTCATTGAGGTTGGTATTTAACATAAATTTGAGTGCAGGTACCATGATTATATTTAGAATTTTGCGGCTGGATGGGAAAACCAGCTAGATGTCTATAGATTTCCTACTCAAACACAATGTGCCTTTGTTTTACTTTTACGTCTCTAATTTAGCAATTATTAGGTACAACTGTATGCAGTGTCACTAAAAATACCTCCCAAAACCAAATATTAAATAATGTCTATGGCTTTCTGTTTTATAGTGTTGATTTTTGCAATATTAATGGGAACCACTTAGCATTTGCCTTGTGGTGTCTCCTCAGCTGTATTCACATATTCCATCACCTTTTCTTAATGGATAATCATGCACTATGAGTAAGGGTTTTCAGAAAAGCTGTGTCTTTTAAAGATAACACAGGAGCATCAAATTTAATTCTGCTAGGACGCCTGGTCTACTGATTAACTGCAGCTAATATGAGGTCTACTTCACATCCAAGTTAAATTCAGTGCCCTTAATCAGTCATATGATGAGGTCAACAGTAATAAATTATGCAATATTTTTTCACCCACCCCTATAGTTTTAATTTCTTTTTCCCCTTGTGTCTGTGTTTAACATTTTGCTTTGCAAAACATGATGATAATCTTCTAGAGTAGTGAGGACAAGCTATAAATCCAAAGTTTCTTACCTATGCAAATGACTTGTTTGCTCTATTTTCTCATGAGCTTGGTAGATCCAGGAAACAGAACTTTTAAAACAAAATCCCCATATATTGCTGGGTGCAGTGGCTAGTGCCTGTAATCCCAGCACTTTGGGAGGCTGAGGCGGGCAGATAACCTGAGGTTGGGAGTTTGAGACCAGCCTGACCAACATGGAGAAACCCATCTCTACTAAAAACACAAAATTAGCTGTTCATGGTGGCACATGCCTGTAATTCCAGCTACTAGGGAGGCTGAGGCAGGAGAATCGCTTGAACCCAGGAGGCAGAGGTTGCCATGAGCTGAGATCACACCACTGCACTTCAGACTGGGCAGGAAGAGTGAAATTCCATCTCAAAAAACAAAAACAACCACAACCACAACAACCACCACAAAACCCAAATGCATTTCCTTGGCACAGTAAAACTGAAACAGAAAAAGGGTAAAGTAAATACAAGTAACTGAAAGAGTTTATGTATATTATTTTACTTCTCATTTGATAAAATTTGTAAAGTAATGAGCAGAGTGTATTTCTCCAGGGACCCAGATATATACATTTATTTATTCAATAGAAATTCATTCTTATAATGGCCACTGATACCTATATCCTAAATATTTCTGAAAACATCTCCTCAGGCCTGCATCATCTTTGCAACATTGCCTTATATTTTATCTTTGTTCATTGATTTATATGCCTCAGAATTTTATGCTCCTCACAGTATTTAGAGTGAATTATCCCTAATGCAAATAGATCCGTGAACCACTCCTGAATACCTAATGTCCAAGCATCTTAAAGGTTTATATAAGGATTTCAGAAACTGACTTCTGGGTTGGGCAAGGTGGCTCATGTCTGTGATCCCAGAACTTTGGGAGGCTGAGGCAAGTGGATCATTTGAGGTCAGGAGTTCAAGACCAGCCTGGCCAACAAGGTGAAACCCCATCTCTAATAAAATACAAAAATTAGCAGGTGGTAGTGGCACGCGCCTCTAATCTCAGCTACTCAGGAGGCTGAGGCAGGAGAATTACTTGAACCTGGGAGGCCGGGTTGCAGTGAGCTGAGATCATGCCACTGCCCTCCAGTCTGGGAGACAGAGTATAACCTTGTCCCAAAAAAGAAAAGGAAAGGAAACTGATTTCTGCCCAAATCTCCATCTGTATCCCTTTCCCCAACTGCCTTTATCTCTGGAATTACTGAGATGCTGGTAATGGCCCCTCACCATTCCTCTTCTGCAGAGAAATACATACTCTCTTGGAGGCTTCTCTTCCTCTCTTGTTGCCGCCTGGCATGTGCTCACCCTTTCCTGCCCTCTGCCTCACTTAATCTGGCTAACCTCACTCTCTAAGTCTCAGCTCATGGGTGATCTTTAGGAAAGCCATCCCTGACAGCTTCTATTTTCCTTCCTTATTCCCCAGTGCCTAACACTTAGCAGGAACTCAATAAGTAATTATTTAGCAAAATTAAGACTGTTTATACAAAGATGATTCAAAAGATTGTCCTCTACAGTCTAGCAGCAAAGGGGGTCAACATGTAAAGACATGATGTGCAGGTCAGGTGGTAAAGTGACACTAGAAAAATTGACAAGGTACTAAGGGACCCCAACGAAGCAGACACCTGTGTGTGTGGAGAAAGATAGCTAGAATCAAGGAAGATTTCACATAGCATTCTGAGCCTTTTTTTCTTCCTCTTTTTGGAGACAAGTTCTTACTCTATCACCCAGGATTGGAGTGCAATGGCATGATTGAGACTCACTGAAACCTCAGACTTCTGGGCTCGAGGGATCTTCTCATCTAAGCTTCTTGAGTAGCGGGGACAACAGGAACATATCACCATACCTGTCTAATTTTTTGTAGAGTCAAGGTTACCTATGGTTCCCAGGCTGGTCTTAAACTCTTGGCCTTGAGCAATTCTCCCATTTTGGCCTTCCAAAGTGCTGGGATTACAGATGTGAGCTATTATGCCCAGCCTACTTTCTGAGTCTTAAAAGATGAAAATAAATTTTTCAGAATAGCAGGGGAAAACATTTGTGATGTAAAAAATGGGGTGCACACTAATTGAGGTATAAACAACAATAATTTTGCAAATTATTAGTAACTGCCAACTCAATTAGTGTCTTGTTAAAAAGATACTGTTATGAAGTATAGTAAAGCATTACATTGTATATTTTGACTGTATTTCAAATTTCTGTTTTGTTTCCAACAGTTTTGTTGACTTATGTTGGGTGGAACAATTTGTGAGTGACCCTGAGATTTTGCATGGCTTGAATCTGGTGATATCTGGTGTCTCCCCAAGTGGTTTGTTGAAGTTTTGGATAATTAGAAGTATTTCTTACAGAAGTAAATATTTCAGTAAACATTGTTTCATTCAAACTCTCAAAATATAAAATACAAAGAAATGTTATTCTCTATTTATTTTTATAAAGATTATAGTCTTTATCTAACTCTTCTTAGTTCATTTGAACTAAATCAATGAATTTGTCAACAGAACAAACCTTACCAGTGGCTTTAGAGGAAGAGCAAGAAAGGTGTGAAAGAAGTGAAAAGAAGCAATCACAGGTATATGAAAATTTAAGTTCTTGTTTAATATTAGTTTTTTTTTTGCTTTACTAACAAAGCACAGTCCAAATGACATGACCTTTCAGACTATACCTTTAGAATCCAATAGATCATAATTTTATATTTAATTTTTAAAACATCTTAACCAGTTATGAAACTTAAGATATTCTTACTATCTCTAGTAACTATTAGTTATTCTAGTAATTCTTAGTATCTCTAGTAACTCATAGTTGTCTTTACCCTTGGAATTGAGGCAAGAAATTTTCAGAATTATCTTGCTGTTTTATTTATGTAACCTTACTCATAATACACAAGGTAACATGAAGTATTGGGTCATATTACTGAGGAATAGAAATTATGAACAGTTTAACAACAATGACCACTGAGTTAAACTAGTGTTAAAGGAATCATCATTGCCAGTGTTTCAAATGTTGCAGTTTTATATTGCTGGTCACCAGTGCCGAGGTTAAAGATTTATTCTGTTTTGTGGTCACCAGCTGACTTCTGTGTCTGTGTTCAGGGAGTGAATGGGGTCATAAAAGTCAATGCAGTTGCCCATTAAGAGAATCCTACCTTGCAGAATGGGACCTTTGGTGTCAGGGTGTGAACAATAACTTTATTTCAACATAAATACATAGTAAACATTACTAAAATTTAAAAAATCCAAACCCTATCACTACCGGAACTTAAAATATATTAGAAGTGGATATAAGCAGAAATTCTATCTAGATACATAACACTATCATAGTATATCATTTGAATTAGAATTTAAAATTTTGCTTCTCTTTCTTATTGGTGTTCAGTTTAGCTCTTAATAATTTAGTGTTTGCCTAGTGCTCTAGTTAATCTTCAGAAATAAACATGCACTGTAGGGGCTCACTCTTTCTGATATGCTGAGGTAAAGTCTTTGTAAGAGAGGAAGCTTTTATAATACTACCTATCATCTTTGAATTCATTTCTGGTAGATTTTACACAAATGCATTAAGTTTAGTCCAAACAGACACTAAGAGTTCAGCTTGCTGTTTCATATTTCTGTCCTATGTTAAGCCAAGGCAAACTATTTTTCACTTTTTAGTTACAATCCAATAATTTAAGAGTAGCAACACATAGATTAAGTTTCACAGTTAAATTTTAATTATTTTCTAATATTTCTTTGTTTATACTTGATTAAAGCTAATTTTAAAACATGCACTCTGACAGAAAAGACATCTGAGAAACAAAACAAGCAAATTTGTTTTCCATTTTGCACCTGCCCCCCCCCAAAAAAAAGTCTCAAGAACCAGAACTGGGTAAGAACAGTGATAAAGGGAATCAATCTATATATTCATGACTTTCTTTAAAATTCATTACAAACAAGTTCAAGCTGAATATTGGTAAAAGTTCTGAAAACTCCAAAATTACTGCTTGCCCTGAGGAAGAGCTCCTACATGGTAACTCTAAAGAGGGATGAACAAAAAAGGAGTGCCCTCTAGTCTGATGAATCATGTCCTTGATTGTGAGGAGAAAAATGTATCTGGAGGGTCTAGCTCTGTGGCAGTCCAGGCAGCGCCTGAACAGAGGAAGCCCATGTCAAATGTCTTTTTATTCCATTCACACTCCAGGTCCCTGAAATACACTTACCAGTCATCTTCTAAGCTTCATTTAAATTAAAATAAATCAGACTATAAAAATGATAACAAACCAGACACACAGCTTGTTTCTAACACAGATGATGAAAATTTTTGTTATGATATAGAAACTGAAAAAGTAAGGAACCCAGTAATTATGATTGAAATGAAAGATGATTAAGAGTTTGACATGCAAATGGAAAAATATATAAACCCAAATACCACTAATTGGAAATTAGACATTAGGCATTGGTCTCAGTCTAGAGATCCAGAAAGTCTTTTTGATTTGTGGTTTACCCACCCCAAAGAAATGAAGCATATGATTCAGATAGAAAGTCACAGTATTTCTGCTGCTACAGATACTTATAAAAACAGAAAACCAACACAGTGCTTATTCCAGAAGCCGCTGTATGACAATCCCAGTGTTAATAACTACAAAACCATGAATCTTGAATTATAAAATGCGGGTTATTCTTTGCCACATAGTGAGAGAACATCAAAAATATAGCTAGAAGACTTACAGCAAGATATTCCAAGGTCACTAACATAGCACATGTATACATACGTAACAAACCTGCACATTGTGCACATGTACCAGAACTTAAAGTATAATAATAGTAAAAAGAATGAGGTAGGCATGTTACAAGTAGAGTTCCTGGCTTTGGAGAAAGAGAAAGTCCAACTTCAAAAAGACAGAGGTTCACTTGCTGCTTCTTTTTTCTCTTTATCAATTATTTGATTTAGTCAAATTTTCTATTCAAGAAAATCTCATGTGTACAGTTACAGCGGGGTTTTCTAAATGTGTAATTATGTGTCAAAGTAGATTAGTCCTGCTATCTAAACAACGGTCCTGGAGAATGTTCTCATAATGTTTCTTCATTAATCAACCTAAGTCTCACTCTCAGTCTTCCAAGTGGCATATGAGCTGGGAAACTAATTCAGCCATATACCATGTCACCTTCTGAACCAGATCAACATAAAGAAATTGCTAAAGAAATAAGCTTTAGATTCTAGATTCTTTTTCCTGTATTCATTTAGAGATGAATTACATTTATTTAATGATAGAATGGGAATACAATGGGAGGGAAGCAATGACTGAGATGAGCCACAAAAACACGTCTAGCCTTGAGAGTTGCAATGAATATTCCCAGCCAAATGAGTCTGTTTAATGTGTTTTCATGCACGCCAGTTTATCTGCTTAGCTCAAACTGTTTGAATTTATAGTTCCATCATGGTTATTTCCAATATTTTGAAAACAAATATATACTTCCACATATTTTAAAAAATCACCACTCCAATATTTCTGTTGAATCAGACCTTACATTATGTTGTTTAATAAAGTATGGTAAGTTTTGGCAAGTATGATTTTTATCATGTAAGAAAGAAGCATAATTTCTTAGCTAAAAATTTAGCCTTTGACTCTTTAGTAGAAAGTTGAGTTCTGTACATTGTGTTCTAAAGATAGGCAAAAATCTAGAGATTTTCTTCTTTCAAAGTAAAAGCAGATGAGGCCTTTTTCCACCCTCTGAGGTGTTAAATTGCTTTGCTCAGGTTAGACTTTTAATATATCTGACTAATTTGATAAATTTATCTGGTAATTTATGTAATTCAGCAATATGGAATTATATCATGCTATTTGGTGCCGTGAAATGCTAGGGAATGCCACCTCAAGAGCTCTGGATGAAACATTTCATATGTCTTGGTTGGTTTGACTCCCATTTTCAGTAGATAATGGAGCTATAGTAGATAAGTGTACCGTTTGTTTTCCACCTATAAACGTTTGTGGTAATTGAATGTGAAATCTGGGAAGCATCTCGTTTTCCAGAATTCTGCACTAGAAACTCAGCAGTTTCACTCTGCTTCTTGTGTTGTGACAAACATTGGTTCCCATAGTTCAGGGAGAACTTTCACTTTTTTGATATCCCAGGATCCAAAAAAAAAAAAAAAAGAGAGAGATAAAAGGCAGTAGGGAAAAGAATAGCTCAGTGCAGAAAAGGAAAACTTCTTTACTCTTCCTGAAGGCCTACAAGGTCACATCCTCTTAATCTGGCTATTTCATGTAAAATCCAGGTGGCAATGACAGAAGATATATGTTATGCCTGTGTCTTTTTATTTCTCTGTTTCTGCCAGTCAGATAGCATAAACATTTATATCAGATAGCAAAGAGTGGATGCGAATAAAAGCACAAAATGGAGAAGAGTCCTTTTTGAAATTTTGGAAAATTATTCCATTCACTCAAACAGAAATGAGCAGACTTGACAAAAATTTCAATGATAAAATGATAAGTATCTTATAATTATTATGTATAATGATAAAATTAAAGTAAGCACAAAATACTTTTATCATTAAAATGGTGATAGTTAACCTGAATCAAGTGAAAAAATCAGGGAAAAAGTTTTTTTATTGAATAAAATAATAATTATTATTCATATTACTTTTATTAAAGGTCAAAGAAGGAAATAATACAAACAAAAGTGAAAAAATACAACTATCAGAAAATGTATGTCATAGTACATCTTCTGCTGCTGCTGACAGATTAACCAAACAAAGAAAGGTTGGGAAAACGTATCCTCAGCAATTTCCCAAGAAACTGAAGAAAGAGCATGATAGGTAAGTAAGCCTATAGCAGTGTGTTTTTGTTTGTTTTTTGTTTGTTTGTTTTTTTCTGAGATGGAGTTTCTCTCTTGTTGCCCAAGCTGGAGTGCAATGGTGTGTTCTCACCTCACTGCAACCTATGCATACTGGGTTCAAGTGATTCTCCTGACTCAGCCTCCCTAGTAGCTGAGATTACAGACATGTACCACCATGCCTAGCTAATTTTTTGTATTTTTAGTAGAAATGAGGTTTTACCATGTTATCCAGGCTTGTCTCGAACTCCTGACCTCAGGTGTTCTGCCCACCTCGGCCTCCCAAAGTGCTGGGTTTACAGGAGTGAGCCACCGTGCCTGGCCACCTATAGCAGTATTTCTCAGCAGATAATTGTAATTGTGCTATAAACTAATTCAAAATTGGACTAATGTTCCTTATGATTAACAAGTTTTATAGTTTTACCAGGGATATTTAGCCCTGCCTGGTAATCAGAAAAATGCAAATTAACATAAAATAAGATATATTTTGTAAAGTCATGCTGATATTGAAAAAGTAATTACTACCATTGAAAATGTGAGGAAAAAGGCATTCTCATACACTGTTGGTATATGAAATTGGTAAATTATTTCTGAAGGGTAACTTAGTGCTGTGTATCAAAATTTCAAATAACCTGACATCCCTTTAACTCATCAACTCCACTTCTGGGACTAGATTTCACAGGAAAACATAACTTGTGTAAACATACACACACTTATTAAGGGCATTAATTATATATTACACATAATGAACAATAGCTTAATAAATATATAAAATATATGTAATAAGAAGGTGAATTGGAAGTATTAAGAAAGAATTATAAAAAGTGTGGGGTAACAGATGTTAGACTCTTTAGCCTAGTTTTAGATGACAATCATCTACAGATATAGTTTGTGTGAGAGACATCTTACTGTGTAAATCATTTGGAGAGACACATACAATATTTCATAGAGATGAAAATTTATTTCTAGTGAACTTACACGCTTGTCAATAAATAGTAACTTTAAAAATTTAGTTGATTGTAAATGATCTTTTCTAATCGGGGAGTAATTATGACTGTGTGATTTGAAAAGGTAATTTTGAACTTCTAACTATACTGAATTATTTCCAGTATCCTTTTTTATAATACATACTAGAGTGACTAGTAACAAAAACTTTAGCAGAATATTCTTTCCTTACTACTTTTCAAGTATATACATTCGTTTGAAGATGTTGGAGTGAGAAATTAAATATCTGAGAACTACAAAGGAAAAATAATCCAGAACATAGAAATTTTATTAGGATGATAAATAGCATCTGCAGAGGTAGATTACAGGATGATCTCTTTGTTTTTTAACAAAATGAATTTTAAGATAAATGTCTTTATCTGCAGATGCATCTTAAGACAAGAAAGTGAAGAAAAAACAAATGTTAATATGCTGTACAAAAAAATAGAGAAGAATTAGAAAGGAAAGAGAAACAATATAAGAAAGAAGTTGAAGCGAAACAACTTGAACCAACTGTTCAATCACTAGACATGAAACTGAAGACTACAAGAAATACTCCAAATCAGATAAATCAATCTTTGGTAAAAATTCTATATTTTAAACTTTATTTTTTCAATGTCACTTATAATATCTTCTTGATTTAATATATAATATTTTGGTATAAAACAAACCAGAAATGTTATCTCATTTTCAAAAAATGAATGATGACACTTACAGGTACAATTATTAATATTTATTATAAATCTTGGCATCCACATAGGATATTATTTTATTACAAAGAGCTTTTGAAAACAATAATATGCCATAATATATACTTAGTGATAACCTATTGATAAAGATTTTGTTCCCAGTAAAATTGTTCCTTGTACTTCCAGCTATTTCATATTGATTACTGTACCTAATACTATAAAGAGGAAATAAATTATTGCAATCACAAATAATCTCATGATATTCTAAGAAGAGCTCTATAAATTTTATCTTATTTACCATTGGTGTTTTGAAAGAAAACTTTTCTTTCTTATTGATACTTTTACACCACAGAAGTAACTGTGATCTGTCAGAGAACTAGAAGTAGAGTCAGAAGTCCTGGGGAAAATCCTGTAGCTTGCTTATATTTTTAACATTTCTTTTTCAAAATTGTGGTAACTAGATGAGTTCATCAATGAATGTATACAGGAGTGACTAGTATAATGTCTAGATTTATGATTTAGTAAATGTAATTCTTACAACTGACTATAAAAGTGTTAAAAGAGTCAAATTGAAATAGAATGTTATCAGTGAAACAGAACTGTAGTAACTCTGGGAAATTTTATCTGTCCAAATACGTGTGAAGTAAGGTTCTTACTATAGGGTAGTGTATGGGTTAGATATCAAAGTGTAAATGCAATTTTTTGATATATTTTAATTTAGTCAAATTTGTTAATGCTTTAATTTATGCTTTTGAGTTTGTTGTAATTCAGGGAAAGGCTTTTCCAATTCTGAAATTCTTAAAAATTCTCTGGTGTGCGTGTGTGTGTGTGTTTACTTTTATAAATTCATTGACTTTAAATAAATTTCTGAACTTTTTTGAACTTATGCTCTATAAGGTTCAAAGTTTTGCTTCAACTTTTTCTCCAGTTGGATATCCACTTACAGTAACCTTTTTAGTATATGGACGTGCAGGTTATTCTTTAACTTCAGAGGTAATCATGATATGTTATTTTATTGAGTACTAGCTAAAACTTTCTTTTGTTTTATTTAGGATTTTCGTAATCACGAAGAAATGAAAGATCTGATGGATGAAAATTGAATTTTGAAGACAGATATTGCTATACTCAGACAGGAAATATGCACAATGAAAAATGACAACCTGGAAAAAGAAAATAAATATCTTAAGGACGTTAAAATTGTTAAAAAAACAAATGCTGCCCTTGAAAAGTATATAAAACTCAATGAGGAATTGATAACAAAAACAGCATTCCGGTATCAACAAGAGCTTAGTGATCTCAAAGCTGAGAATACAAGGCTCAATTCCGAACTGTTGAAGGAAGAAGAAAGCAACAAAAGACTGGAAGCTGAAATTGAATCATCAGTCTAGACTGACTGCTGCTATAAGTAAACACAGTGAAAGTGTGAAAACAGAAAGAAACCTAAAACTTGCATTAGAGTGAACACAAGATGTTTCCGTACAAGTAAAAATCAGTTCTGATATTTCCGAAGTAGAAGATACGAATGAGTTTCTTACTGAACAACTTTCTAAAACGCAAATTAAATTCAATACCTTAAAAGATAAGTTCCGTAAGAAAAGAGATACTCTCAGAAAAAAGTCATTGGCTTTAGAAACTCTCCAAACGACCTAAGCCAAACACAGCAGCAAATAAAGGAAATGAAAGAGATGTATGAAAATGCAGAAGCTAAAGTGAATAATTCCACTGGAAAGTGGAGCTGTGTAGAAGAGAGGATATGTCAACTCCAACATGAAAATCCGTGCATTGAACAGCAACTAGATGATGTTCATCAGAAAGAGGATCATAAAGAGATAGTAACTAATATCCAAAGAGGCTTTATTGAGAGTGGAAAGAAAGACCTCATGCTAGAAGAGAAAAATAAGAAGCTAATGAATGAATGTGATCATTTAAAAGAAAGTCTCTTTCAATATGAGAGAGAGAAAGCAGAAAGAGTAGTAAGTATCAAGGAAGATAAATATTTTCAAACTTTTGGAAAGAAAATTTAAACATTTGGTTCTGGATACATGTTGAACTTAGTTGAATATAAAAATCAATGGATAAAAAGTGTGTTCACCATACTGTATAATTCCATTTACATGAAGCATCCAGAAAAGATAAATGTATAGGGAAAAAAGTAGACTAATGTTTGCAAAGGGCTGGGGCTGAAAGCTGGTAGTGACTGCTAATGGGCGTGAGGGATCTTGCAGTGATGGAAATGCTGTAAAGTTGGATTGTAGAGATGGCTGCACAACTCAGTAAATGGACTAAAAAATCTTTTAACATTAAGTTAAAACAGATACATTCTATAGTATGTAAATTATATTTCTACAAAGCTGTTTTAATAAAAAAAAAGGAAAACCGTGTTTACTATACCAGCTTAGAAACGTGCCTCATTTCTAGGAAATAAAAGGTAGAGGTGAGAGATGATTTACTTTGAGAAAAGACATTGTGTCACCTATGAAATTTTATTAGGCACAGAGTCATATTTTAAGGTAGATAGTTCTGTACTGCTGAAATAATAATTTTAATGACTTTATGTTGCCACATGTTAAGACCATAATGTAAGTATAAATGGAAATGTTTACACCTGAAATGAGTATTTTCAAATTAAAATTTAACTGATTTTCTTTGACACTTAATTCTAGATTTCCCAGATGAACTGAAGTGTATTGCTGTGTCTTGTAATACCTTGCTTTAAGTAACTTTTTATGTATTTTAGTTGGTATATCTTTGTTATTAATCATATTAATTTAACAAATCTGAAAATATGTCAAATTACATATTTTTATGACTATGTAATGTTATAAAGACACCTGCTTGTTATAAAATCATAATTTAGGATACATGTGGTAATATTTAGCAAAACTATATTTGGTTTAGTCTTCCCACTGGTATTTATAGTTTACTTTGAATATTTATATTAATAATTAGCTCCTAATTTTTATTTCAAGGCTCAATGACTATCATTGGAATATAATTTTGTTCAGTACAAAGATACTTGTAGCTGCCTGTGATTTATGAGTAAGGCATTAGATCCCTATTTTCAGACTGAGGGGTGGCAGGCTTCACGTACAGTGGGAATGGAGTAATTACAGGAGGGAGTTGTAGGACCTTTGAAGTCAGAGAGAGAGGTAGAGACCTGTTTACCTAGGACCTCAAAGGCCATTGGAATTTTACTTTTATTCTGAGATAGGAATCTGTTGGAAGGATTTGAACAGGTGATTGAATATGTCAGGAACTTTGAGGTTGAGTTGAGCTTCTAAGATGATTGAATGGTGGGATGAATCTGTTATGTAAGTAAGAGAATACCAACTTGGCAGGAAGAGAACATATTGTGCATCCCTCTCTGAATTCAGTAATAAATAAAAATGTGTACATGTGATTAAAAGAAGGTGAATTGATATGTGTGGTGATAATTTTCAAAGTAGGTATGTTAGAGTTAAATATTATTAACATAATTTAATAATAAGGCAATTTATAAAATCAGTAACAAAAATATTTTTCTCAGGTGGTTGTGAGACAACTTCAACAAGAAGCGGCTGACAGCCTAAAAAAATTAACTATGTTAGAGTCTCCACTGGAAGGCATATCACATTATCACATTAATTTGGATGAGACACAGGTCCCAAAGAAGAAATTATTTCAAGTGGAAAGTCAAGTATGTATGGAACTTAGCATGTCAACTGTTATTCTGTAGCTAGTTGAATTACATAACATGTTTTAGGATACTAATTATGGCAGAAGCTTGATTTTTTATTTTCATTACAATGAATTATTTCCATTTTACTATCTCTATAATGTACTTATTTTTTTATATAGTGACTTTCATTCTACCATTTTGAAAAACCATTGCATACCTTTTCTCTTACAATATGTACCCTTGGAAAAGTTGAGAATTATACATCATTCCTCATAGAAAACTGACTTTTGTCCTGTTAAAACAGTATTTTTAAGTAATTTTTGTATTGCTCTGATGAGGCAGGCCAGATTAAATCAGAGAAGAATGTTTCATGGAATGTTCCAGAAAATTGTCTTATTTCTTCACTTTTGTGAGTGGACACAGAATCTGTGTCTATTTATTTCACAGATTCTAGGTTAACTTGTACAGAAAGGTCATTATACTATTCTTTTAAAAGTGCATGTTTTAGGTTAATTTGCAAACTATTTGAAAAGTTAGGTATTTTCTTTATCTTTTATTTAAAATATACTATAAAACTGTGGAAATATTTAAATTTGAGATAACATGTACATCAAAAATTGAGAGTTGAGAAAATTATCTTGATCCTGCCTTTGGATTTTAAAAACAATTTCACTGAGATAACATTCACATTTCAGAGAGTTCAACCATTTAAAATGTACAACTCAGTATCTATTAGTATATTCACAGCATTTTCATCACCCTGAAAAGCAACCCCACATCTCCTAGGCATGACTGCAGCCTTCCTCCATGTCCCTCCACCTACCTCTGTTGTAGGCAACCACCATCTATCTACTTTTGTCTCCATATGTTTGCCTGTTCTGCTTATTTCATATACATAGAGTTATACAATACGTAGTCCTTTGTGACTGGCTTTTTCACTTAGCATAATGTTTTCAGAATTCATTTAGCATAATGTTTTAGCACACATTGGTAGTTTATTTCTTCTTATAGTTAAATGATATTCTATTCCATGGCTATACTGGTTTTCCATTCATTCATCAGTTGATGGACCTTTAGGTTAGTTTCCACTTTTTAGCTCTTATGAAAAATGCTGCTGTGAACATTCACTTACAGGTTATTATGTGGACACGGGTTTTTATTTCTCTGCCATTGGACTTTATCCTCAGAGTTAATTGGGCAGATTTCAGCACTTATCTTGCTCATGCTATTCTTTCTACGTTCTCAGTTTCTGTTCATCTAGCCTCATTCACTCAGACGTGGCAGACAATTTATTGTTTTCATGAAGCTTTCTCTGACTGTTCTCTCATTGACCTTATGTGTTAGCAATCATTGTCTAGTCTGTGCAGAAAAACTTAGTTCTTAATTTTACATGGCTTTTTTTATGGAAGATAATTTTCTCTCATTATAAATTTGCTTAATGGGGGAATAATATATAATATGTATGCCACCTATCCTTGCATACATTGAAAGTATTTTAGCTTAGAAGTTTGTAGCATACAATTCAATACTTTATACCATACCAATTATTTCTTCTTTGAGACCTTGACACAGTAAGGTTTATATTCTAAGTGTGTTTTTAGCAATTATATATCAAATCTAAACCAATTAGTTTAATACAGGAGACTTGTTAAATCACATATTTATGTTTTTCTCTCTATGAAAAAGAATCTAAATTGGCCTTTTTTCACTATGCAGCAGAACTGTATTTCTGGACTGCTACCAGTTTGTCAGCTGAACAGTTCTGGGTGCAGCTTGTCCGATGACGGATAGCACAGCACCTCAATCTGAGTGCTCAGCAGAGTGATTGTGAAGGCAGCACCACAGCAACAGTTGCTCAGAGGGAACGGATTCAGGAGCCTTGATTTAACAATAGAGTCCAGGGTTTTCAGCTCAGTGTCTTTAGCCTGTCTCTGCTGGTCATGTCAGTTATGTACTATTCAATCCAGGAGGTGCTGTTTACATTGTAGTACATACATAGTCATTGCCTAATGAGTCATACAGAGAGAAAAGTAAGTTATAAATTATGTCCCCCATTTGCTGCAACTCTCAGTGGTAAGAATGATTCAGTGCAGCTATAGGAGAGTACTTTCATTGGCATGCCACCTGCCTAAAATACACAATTTTGTTAAGATATACAATAAAATTATTATGCTAATAGCAAATATTTTATGTAGCTCACTATGTTCCACGTAGTCTTCTAAGTGTTTCGTGTTAGTCCCCAGTTAAACACCTGGTTTTGGAAGGCTGAAGCAGGAGGATCGTTTGAGCCCATGAGTATGAGACCAGCCAGAGCAATATAGTGAGACCCTGTCTCAAAAAAAAAAAAAAAAAATTAAACACTTATCTGAGGCATGGTGGTGCACGCCTGTAGTCCCAGCTACATTGGGAGGCTGTGGTAGGAGGGTCGTTTAAGCTTGGAATATTGAGGCTGCAGTGAACAGTGATCAAGCCACTGTGCTCCAGGCTGGGTAACAGAGGGAGACTCTGTCTCATAAATAAAACGTTTTGTATAGATTCCCATAGAAGTGAGTTAGACATCAGTCATAGAATTATTAGCCACTTTGATGTCTACCTTGGGAGTAAAACATATAATAAGGGGCAGCGTTAAACCATCTCAATCAATAGCCTCCAACTTCTCGAGAAGGTTCTTATTTCATGAATTTCTAAACAAGGGACTACCTGGATTAAGACATTTGGTGGACCCCATTTTGAGACGAAGAATCTTGAGTGAGAAGAAGGGAGATCTCTACTTACTGAAGCTTCCCAATGACATAGTTAAGTGTCCCCCAAAATAAACTTTAGAACAAGACTTTCATCATGCCATATCTCTATGGAAAAGGAATTTCTTTAAAAGAAAACAAAGGCAAACAATTGATAATATGATTCTCATGGGAAAGTTTTCATCATAAAAGAAAAAGAGGGCTGGGTGCCATGGCTCACGTCTGTAATCCCAACACTTTGGGAGGCTGAGGTACGTGGATTACCTGAGGTCAGCAGTTCAAAAACAGCCTGGCCAACATAGTGAAACCCTGTCTCTACTGAAAATACAAAAATTAGCCAGGTGTGGTTGTGTACACCTGTAGTCCCAGCTACTTGGGAGGCCGAGGCAGGAGAATCACTTGAACCCAGGAGGTGGAAGTTGCAGTAAGCCGAGATGGTGCCACTGCACTCCAGCCTGGATGACACAGTGTGACTCCATCTCAAAAAAAAGAAAAAAAGAAAAACAAAAAAGGGACAAAGTATACTGGTCCAAAAAAGAAGAAAGCAAGGAAAAAAGGACAAAGTATACTGGTTACTATCATAACAGTGAGATAGTCCCCCTTTGAGATTAGAAAATAATAGTATACTCAAAGTAACATTAATGAGAACCAACATAAAATAGACAACATTCACTATCTACAAAAGTAATCTGCACCAATTAGCAATGTATGAGCATGTGGTTGAGAATATTTTCTATAATATGTGTACTAGAAGGAAGAGACCTCAAGAAAATGGTCAGAGCTGGAAATGTAGATTAGGGAATCTAGGTCAAAGTTTTGAGATTTTAGGAATCCTGAGAGAATTTAAAAAGAGAAATAGCCACCAGGCATGGTGGCCACACCTGTAATCCCAGCACTTTGGGAGGCCAAGGCAGGAAGATCATGAGGTCAGGAGTTCAAGACCAGTCTGGCCAACAAGTTTCTTATATAGGTAAACGTGTTCCATGATGGTTTGCTGCACCTATCAATCCATCACCTAGATATTAAGCCCTGTGGGCATTAGTTATTGATCTTGATGCTCTCCCTCCTGACCCCAACAGGCCCCAGTGTTTGTTGTTCCCCTCCCCGAGTCCATGTGTTCTTATCGTTCAGCTCCCACTTATAAGTGAGAAGATGCAGTGTTTGGTTTTTTCTTCCTGCATTAGTTTGCTGAAGATATCAGCTTCGGGTTCATCCATATCTCCTGCAAAGAGCATGATCTCATTCATTTTTATGGCTCCATAGTATTCCATGGTGTATATATACCACATTTTCTTTATCCCATTATCACTGATAATGTCCATCTGGGTTGATTCCATGTCTTTACTATTGTGAATAGTGCTGCAGTGAACATGCAAATGCATGTATCTTTATAATAGAATAATTTATATTCCAACGTATGGTAATTTTAAATCAGTTTTGGTATTAAAAATCATGCATTTTGGAAAATATTGATAATGGAAAAATCCAAATTCTGCCAAAATATGTTGAGAAAATAGAGGGTAAATATATCTTTTCAAACTTTAAATGCCTCAGGCTCTTAGTTAATCTTCCCCAGATCTGGGAAGACCTAGAAGGGGAGAGATTGGGCTACCTTAATGAGGGTCATTTCAATCTCTTGGCCCTGCAGCAGCCATTTCAAAATACATCAAAAATATATTTGGGGGTAAAATATTTTGATTTCCTTCAGCTTCTTCTCTCTGTGATGCTGCACCAGAATCAGATTAGCAAGGAAGCCACATTATAAGTGTTAATAAAACCCATCTGATGAGATTTGATAATTTGAAGGGTGTGTTTCCCAGACCCTTTAGATAGAAATTGGGGCCAAAGAAAACAAGGTCTTATTCCTCTATATAAATCTGTCAGTGCTTTAAGCAGTGAAAGAAAGATTTTTCATTTAAGTTTACAGACTTGATACTAATGAAAAGGATAGCTTGTAAAATATAAATCTCTTTTTCTATAAAAGGGACATGTTGTTGATTCTCTTAGACCTTGAACCCTGGCCAGTGATTTGAAACCAAGCAGTACCTATCTCCAGATCTCTAGTACCAAATTAATTTGGGGTGGGGGGTAACAGGTTTATTGAGAAATAATGAACACACCATGCAATTCACTCATTTAAAGTATAGAATTCATTAACTTTAGCATTTTCAGAGAGTTATGCCGTCATCATTACAATTAATTTTAGAACATTTTCATCACCCTAAAAACAAACCCCACAGCATTTAGCCATCTTCACTAGTTTTCCCTTCCTCCCTCAGCCCTAGGGAACCACCCACCTTCTTTGTATAGATTTGCCTATAAGCCTCTGAAATAAAAAGCAAGTGGTCTGCTGGGACTGGCTTATTTCACTTAGCATAATTTTTCATGCTGCATCTGTGCTGTAGCAGGTATTGATGCCGGGTTTTTGCTCCTTAGTTCAGCTACATCTGGGTTCTTCTCTCGTGACCAGGAAAAATTAAGCATGCAGACACATTGAGGAGGGCAGAATTTATTATGTGAAAGGACAGCTCTCAGCAAAGAGAGGGGTCCTGCAAAGAGGTTTCCACCTCACAATTGAATACCAGGATCACATGAGCTGAAGCGGCCAGGCTCCTCCTCTGCATAAGGCGTGAATTCCTGGTGACTCCACCCCATCCCCCCACTGCATGTTGGCCTCCGGTCTGCTGTGGGCATGTCCAGGCAAGACAAGTCCAGGTTCCCTTATCTGCACATAACATCTGGTGTAAACACTTGTGGGGCTGGTTGGAGATTCTCCAGGGACCCTTCCGTATCTGCCTAGGCATTTTGCTGTCTCCTCCTAATACGGTATCTGTACTTAATTTCTTCTTATTGCTGAGTAATATTCCATTGTATGGATACATCAAACATTTTATTTATCCATTCGCCAGGTGATGGACCTTTGGGTTCTCTCCCACCCAAAGGTGACAGACCTTCTGGTTCTTTCCACCTTTTGACTACTATTAATAATGCTGCTGTAAACATTTATGTATGAGTTTTTGTGCTTGGGTATGTTTTTATTTTTCTGGAGTATATACTTATGACTGGAATTTCTGTGTCATATGGTAACTTCATGCTTAACCCTTTAAGGAGCTGCCAGTTTGTTTTCCAAAGTGGCTGCATCACTTTACATTCCCAGCAGCATTAGATAAGGGTTTTAATTTCTTTACATTTTTCCTAACACTCTTTTTTCTTGAACAAAGATTTTATCCTGTGGTGTGAAGTGATACCACATGTGGTTTTGATTTACATTTTCCTAATGACTAATTACATTAAGCATCTATTAATGTGCTTATCCATCTTTATATCTTCTTTGCAGATATATCTATTCAAAATCTTTGCCCATTTTTAAAAATTGGCTTATCTTGTTATTTATTAATTGCAAGAGTTATTTATATTTCCTATATATGTAAGTCCCTTATCAGATACACGCTTTTCAAATACTTTCTTCTACTTGGCGTCTTACCTTTTCACTTCTTCATACTGTCTTCTGAGGCACAGCAGTTTTCAATTTTGAAGTCCATTGAATCCATTTTTCCTTTGGAGTCATAGCTAAGAAAAAACTGGCAAATGCTGTCACAAAGATTTATGCCAGTGTTTTCTTCTGAGGGTTTTATAGTTTTAGCTTTTACAGTTAACTATTTTATTTTGAGTTAATTATTAAATAAGATATTTGGTCAAACTTTATTTATTTTTTGCTTATGGATACCCAGTTGTCCCAGCACCATTTGTTGAAAAGACTATTCTTTTCCCATTTTGTTCTTTTGTTAAGCTTGTATAAAATCAAGTGACTGTAAAAGTGCAGGCTTATTTTTAGATTGTCAATTCTTAGCTTTTTTATGTCTATTCTTATGTCAAGGCCCAATCGAATTGAATGAGAAGTTTTTTTCAATCATGTTGCATATTACCAGTTGTCTTATGTCATAATAAAAATTAAATTTAGTGGAATGTCTGTAACTTCACCTTTTGTGTCACAAAGGAGTCTCTGGCCAGCTTATACCTTACTTCCTCTAAGACATGATCAGACACCAGGCTTACAAGACACACTTAATTTCTTTTTTTCTCCATTCAAGCCTTTAGTCTCTTTTCCATTGCCTCCCACTATAGTTATATTTTCAGTAAGTTTTTGTTACAGGATCTGCTGACATAGTCTAATATTCAGTGCATTATGTTTTACTAACTCATTATAATTCATAGAACCTTCCATAGATGTTTACCATCTAGGAAGGGGAAGTTTAAGTCTGAGCCACCAGCTTTCCTCAGTGGAAATCAAGTGAAGTCATCATCTTGCAGTTTACAGACCCTCTTTCCTCCTGGTAGCTGGTTCTCTTGGGTAGCACTGTGGCTAATCCTTTTCTTAGTGCAGATCTTGCATTCTCAGAAACCACAGTTCCCTGTATTGACCTCCTTTTACTGAAACAGAGATGCACAGCTCTGCTTTCTAGCTCAGTAGAGGATTCTTGGAATAAAACGTTTAACTCATTCCAAGAAAAAGTCTTAGGAGTGCAGCACTTCAAAATCAGGTAACGTTCAGGCAATTTATCAGAGACACATAGTAGATTAGTATTTTGACTTTCAAAATTTCAGAGCCAAGTTGTGTGCTATAGAGAAGCATTGTGGCATAACAAAGAGATGGGATGGTCTTAACTTCTCCATACAAACAAGCTTGGAGTAAGGTAAAGGAGAAATTGCATTTGTGTCTTAACACTCAAAATACATTATGCTTATTTTACTTCTGTGAAGAATAAAAATCATTCCATAATATTCTCCTTATTTCCTCATTTAGAAAAGAAAATGAAAATTGAATACTAGGTTGATTAATAAATACTCAAAACTTCTTCTTTTAGAATTTTAGTTAATTGAAATCAGGTAAATGTCTGATTTTGCCTATGTCACCCAGTATTTCTAGTTGTTTTTCAAATCATACATCTTCTTGCTTCCCAGTCTTACTTCCTAACTTGAGGAGAAATTGTAAGAAGACACCCTTGTCTTGTTATCAGAGTTCATAATTGAAGGAGTTTTAGGAAAATTCCTCCTCAGCAGCTTATGTCTCTCTCCTGGTTATCTACTGCTTCTCAATAATGTTTGACATCATTAAATAAATATCAACATTTTTTAGATCCTGCTTTAAAGGAGACTCTTTTCTGCTGCATAAGTTATGTTTCCTGTTGTCTCTTTTTAAAACTTATTTTCCTAACAATTACCCAGAGTCTTGTGGTTTGAAGGAAAAACATTTATTTTGTTCATGAACCTGTGGTTTGGGAAAAACTTGGCCAGGACAGCTTGTCTCTGCTCCCTTCAGCTTCCCTAGGAACAGCTGATCAGTTGGGGAAATGGAATCCTCTGAAGCTTTGGTCACCCACTTGTTTGATGGTTGATGCTGGCCATCGGCTGTAAACTTGGTTGGGACAGGCAGCATGAACACTAACACAGGCACTTTCAGGCTCTCACAATTGGGGCTGGGCTCCAAGGGAAAACAGTCTGAGATAGGGAAGCCACATGGTATCCCTTTCACTACATTCAACTCATTAGAAGGAAGTCAGTAAGGCTGGCCCATATTCTGTTTTTTAAATGGGATGAATGTAGCTTCTCTTTTGTTTTAATTGACACATATATACATAATTATGGGCTATAGAGTGATATTTTTATACACGTATATAGTGTGTAATGATCAAACTAACTAGCACATTTACTACTTCAACCATTTTTCATTTCTTTGAATTGTGAACATTGAAAATTTTCTGGCTTTTTAAAAATATACAATAAGTCATAGTTAACCATATTCACCCTACAATGCCACAGAACACCAGAACTCACTCCTCTTATCTAACTGTAATTCTGTATCCATTAACCAGCCTCCCCTCCCCTACTTCTGTGAGCTTTTTTTTGTTAAGAGACAGGGTCTTGCTAGTGTAGTCTGGGCTCTGGGCAACTGTAGTCACCGAGACTGGAGACAGTGGTTTGATCATAGTTCACTGCAGCTTCAAACTCTTGGGCCCATCTGATCCTCACACCTCAGCCTCCTGAGCAGCTGGCATTATGGGCATGCACCATTGCACATGTCTGATTTTTGACTTTGTAGAGATATCTCCCTATGTTGCCCAGGGAGCTCTGGAACTTTTGGCCTCAAATGATTCTCTTGCCTTGGTCTTACAAAGAGCTAGAAAATTACAGGCATCAGCCATATTTCCCAGCCTTCAATTTTCCTTTAGCTCCCTTACATGAGTAAGAATGTGCAGTATTTATCTTTCTGTGTCTGCACTTAACATAACATCCGTCAGACTGATCCACTTGGCCACGAATAACAGGATTTAATTCCTTTATACGGTGAATAGTATTCCACTGTGTTTGTGTGCCACAGTTTTTCGTCCATTCATTTGGTGATGGACATGTAGGTTGATTCCATACAGAAGCTGTTGTGGATAGTGCTACAGTAAACATATGAGGACAGATATCCTTTTGATCTATTGTTTTCTTTTCTATTGCCTGAATACCCGGTAGTGGGGTTGCTGGATCCCTCGGCAGTCCCATTATTAGTTTTTTTGAGAAAACCTCCTGTTGTTCTCTATAGTGGCTGCACTAATTTACCTTCCCACCAACAGCATGTAAGAGTTTACTGTTCTCTGGAGCCTCACCAGCATTTGTTATTTTTTTTGTCTTTTCAATGACAGCAATTTATTCAAATTGAAGCAAGATTATATCACATTGTAGATTTGATTTGTATTTCCCTGAGGATTAGTGATACTGAGCATTTTAAAATTTATTTATTGGCTATTTGTATTTCTTTTTCTAAAAAAAGTATAGTTAGATATTTTGCCCAATTTTAAACTCAGATTTTTTTTTACTGTGAAGTTGTTTGAGTTTTTTTGTATATTTTGTATATTAGTCCCTTATTAGGTGAATAGCTTGACAATATTTTCTCCTATTCTACAGGTTTTCTCTTCACTCTGTTGTGTGCTGGACAGAAACTCTTTAGCTTAATGTAGTGTCTTTTGTCTATGATTTGTTGTTTGCCTATGCTTCTGATGTCTTACCCATAAAAATCTTTGTGCAGACTAATGTCCTCAAGCATTTTCCCTATATTTACTTAGAGTAGTTTGATAATTTTGGGCCTTACATTTCAGTCTTCAATCGATTCTGAGTTTATGTTGTTATATGGTGTTACATAGGAAGCTAATATCATTCTTCTCCATATGGATATTTAGTTTTCCCAGTGTCATTCATTTGAAGAGGCTGTCCTTTCCCCAGCGTATGTTCTTGGCATGTTCGTCCAAAATCAGTTGGCTGGAAATATGTGGATTTATTTCTGGGTGCCGTATTCTATGGTCTTTACCCCAAGAAACATTACTTCTTAAAATGCAATTCAAATTAGCATGAAACATTTGCAGTTTAAGGAAAGGCTTATAGCATCAGAATCCTTAATCATAGATTTCATTATTTTGTGGTTTTTTTTGAGATAGGTTCTTTGTCTGTCATCCAGGCAGAAGTGCAGTGATAATAATTCACTGCAGCCCTGAACTCTGGGTACAAGCCATCCTTTTGCCTCAGTATCCCAACTAGCTGGGTCTACAGGCATGAGCCACCATGCCCGGGTAATTAAAAAAATTTTTTTTTGTAGAGATGGGGGTCTCACTATGTTGCTCTGGCTGATCTCGAATTCCTGGCCTCAAGTGATCTTTCTGCCACAGCTTTTTAAAGTGCTAGGATTACAGGCATGAGCCACCATACCTAATATAGAGTGTAATATCATTTTCAAAGTCTTATTCCTAGACCCATTTATTGACTTTGGCCTAAATAACTCAATATGATATCTCTGAAACTTTTTTTGACATACTGTGGGGAATGATAATGAAGGAAGGGGGTTAGACACTTTTTACTAGGAGATAACTTTGTGCCATTTAAGGAGGAACAAAAATGAATTATCAGAAAAATAAAAGTAAAATGAAGTACAAAAATTCTGTGGCAAAGATGATGATAGTAAAGAATATATTTTTATGACTCATGGTAGCTTTAACTTTGTTCTTAAAATTCTGAGTAATTTAAGGGTTCACATTTGAAGAATCTGCTGCATTACAGATAACATTTTATTGCAAGTAAATGCATTTCATAATTTGCTATTGGTTTTGTATTCGATTATTCTCAGCCTACTTCATTATCAAGCTATACTATTTTATTCATGCAGTTTGATGATTTTATGGCGGAGAAGGAAGCTGTATCTTCAAAATGTGTCAATTTGGCTAAAGAGATTCAAGTTTTTCAACAGGAGTTATTATCTATGAAAAAAGTACAACAGGAATGTGAAAAACTTGAGGAGGATAAAAAGATGTTGGAAGAAGAAATATTAAATCTTAAGACACATATGGAAAACAGTATGGTAGAACTTAGTAAACTACAAGAATATAAATCAGAGCTAGATGAAAGGGCAATGCAGGCAGTAGAAAAATTAGAAGAAATCCATTTACAGGTGAGTTGTTTAAATCAGGTAAGTTTACTTGTAATGTGCTTTCATTTATTTCACTGCAAATTATATTTTGGATATATATATATATATATATATATATATATATATATATATATATATATAGTGTTTCCTCTGCCTCTCTTGTAGCAATCTGCTTTGTAGAGTTCTAGAAAAAAATGGTATCTGTTTTTTCTTTTAAATATTTAAATTTCCATTATTATTATAACAAAATCAATCTTTCAGAGTAATGATTCTCATTATGGAGTCATTTGATGATTAAGACCAGTTGGCATAGGAAAAAATTGTGATTTAGAAATTATGTGATAATTATGAATTGGTCTTAAGCTACAGTGTTCATTGATCACTTTTTAAAACTATGAATGGATTCTATTACTTTTTATATGACCAGATTACATTAATACTAGCATAATTATGATTTCAAATTTTTACAAATCAGACTTAATTCTGAATTCAGTTATTAGTTTTGATATTGCTGAAATATTTTAAACTTCATCCTCTTTTTTAACATATTCAAAAATACTCTTTGAATCACTGACTCAAAATGAAAGGCAACAAACATAATAATTAGGTTATAATTGTTTTAAAAGTGTATTCTTTTCCTCTGTTTTAGGAACAAGCAGAACATAAAAAACAATTAGAGCAGTTAAACAAGGATATAATACAGCTTCACTAAATAAGAAGGAACTCACACTTAAAGATGTGGAATGTAAATTCTACAAAATGAAAACTGCTTATGAAGAGGTTACAACTGAGTTAGAAGAATATAAGGAAGCCTTTGCAGCAGCATTGAAAGCTAATAGTTCCATGTCAAAAAAATTAACTAAGTAAGTCAAAACATACACTCATAGAAAATGAATTAAGCTCATTAATTTGTTTCAAAAGCATAATTTTTAGTGAGATGGCTTCAGGAGATTAGAAGCAAGTGAATGCTAATTTGACAATGTAATTTTGAAAAATAATGTGAGTAAATAATTTTACCTTTAAAATGTTAGTCAAAGATAGTTTTTGTCTCTCCTCTCATTTTTTTTTTTGCTTTTGTATGGCTTTTTTTCCTGAAAAGTCTCATGTAATTAACCTGATCTGTTAGTTTTTTTCACTAAGTATTTTTGAAGCTTTATAATTAATGAAGTGATCTTGTTATAAAATTACTTGTCAGAATTTCCCTAAATAGAAATATTAATGTGTTTAATTTACTTTTCAGTGGATCACAACCTAAATGCAAAGTGGTACTGCTACTCTGGGCACAATTGTTTTTGATTGTGATCTTTAGTATTATCACCAGAGGGTGCCTCAAGAAAGACTATTTGTGTAACATATTCAAGATGCTGCAGAAAGGCACCCTTGTGAAATAGGGAATAATTATCACAGGAATTTAAAGAAGTGTAATTCACAAAGCGGTTAAAAAATAACACCTTGTTCAGCCTGAAGCGGTGTGTGGAAGGCAGAAAGAACATGCCCCACCTCCAGGGCCTTGGTCACAGTGTTGGGGACTAATTGCCTTCAGAGATGCTTTAGTTCTTTTTGATCACCAACCAGACAATCTAGTTCTCCCCTAGGAGTTGTTGCTCTGAATTATTCCTCAGTGCCAAATGTTTAATTGGTCCTAGATAATGGGTGAAATGTACAAAAGTGAAATCTAAAACTGGTTTACTAAACACAAGTATTCCTAGATTTTTTTTCGTTCATTTTAGTTTTCTTAACCTACATTAAGGAGTATAACATGATGTTTTGATATAATTATTTCTAGTGAAGTGGTTCTTATAATCAAGCAAATCAACATATTCATTTTCCCACATTATTACCCTTTAAATACAAGTATTTCTAATTGAATCTTCAGAATCTTACAAGTAGAACCATTTTAGAAGGCAGGAAGTTTTACCTGTTGAGCCATAAATCACTGATAGCCATTTCTCTTCCCTGTCTACTTTGTTTGAACTGCTTGTTCAGTAGAAATCACCTTAGAAACAATGGTGATTCTTTAGAACGATTTTAAAATTATAATTCCTTACAACAGGTATGCTCTTACACATCTTCTATGTGAAAACACTATTTAGTGGGTAATTTGGTTTACTCTCAGGGTAAGTTTTTAAAAACTTCAAGTCATTAAGAATCATTTAAGGAAAAATGAAATATTAAACATTTGTCTTTGCTATCTTTACAGATCGAATAAGAAAATAGCAATGATCAGTATCAGCTCTTTATGGAGAAAGAGCAGGTGAAATATTTTCTCAGCACTCTTCCTACAAGGCGAGGTCGAGAGTCACCTTGTGTTGAAAATCTTACTAGTATAGGACTCAACAGAAAATATATTCCCCAAATGCCCGTAAGAATTCCTACTTCAAACCTCAGACTTCAAATAACTGCCAGAACTACTTGACTGAGGTTAGTTATATGACCGTTTCTCTTTAGGGTTTCATTTCTCTAGCGTAATTCTTGTTTATAATTTGGTGAAATACTGAGTTGTTCTGTTGACTTTTGCATGTGAAGTAAAGATCATAATTAGCTGTGTTAACACAGAAAGGAAATGGGAACTTTACATTTTTTAATTCCCTGGAGCTCTCATTTTCAAGAGATATCCATTTGCTAACTTTATTCAATAAATGTGACTAAACTGACACGTTTGAAATGTCTTTAAAAGCTGCATTTAAGTTAGGTTTTAGAAATTGCATGTTATTGCCTGATAACTGATGATATACTTTGAGATGCTTTGGCTTACTCTCTAATTGATTGTAGTTTAGCTGTGGTTCATACCACATTTTTTTTCTTTTTTTTTTGAGGCAGTGTCTCACTCTGTCATCCAGGCTGGAGTGTCTTGGTGCCATCTCCACTCACTGCAACCTCCACCTCCCGGGTTCAAGTGATTCTCCTGCCTCAGCCTCCTGAGTAGCTGAGACTACAACCACCCACCATTACACCCAGCTAATGTTTGCATTTTTAGTAGAGACAGGGTTTCACCATATTGGCCAGGCTCTTCTTGAACTCCTGACCTTGTGATCTGCCTGCCTGAGCCTCTCAAAGTGCTGGGATTACAGGCATGAGCCACCGCACCCGGCCCATGCCACTTTTAAAGTTTCTTTGCACCAGCCAGGTGTGGTGGCTCATTCCTGTAATCCCAGCACTTTGGGAGGCTGAGGCAGGTGTATCACGAGGTCAGGAGTTCAAGACCAGCCTGGCCAAGATGGTGAAACCCCATCTCTACTAAAAGTACAAAAAAAAAATTAGCCTGGTGTGGTGGTGGGCACCTGTAATCCCAGCTACTAGGAAGGCTGAGGCAGAGAATTGCTTGAACCTGGGAGACGGAGGTTGCAGGAGCTGAGATTGCACCACTGCACTCCAGCCTGGGTGACAGGGCAAGACTCCATCTTGAAAATAAAAAAAAAAATTAAAAAAGTTTATTTGCACCATCTCAATTCTTCCCACCCATAATCACAACTGAATGATTGGCATCCAAACACTTTGCCACATATGGATGTTTATTATTTAGTAGAATCCAAAATAATTGCATTTTATGAATTAAACAAAACACTAAAATGTTCATTTCCATTTTTATGTTAAAAGCTTTGTGCTTGGCCAGGCATGGTGGCTCACACTTGTAATCCCAAAATTTGGGGAGGCCGAGGCAGGTGAATCACCTGACGTCAGGAGTTTGAGACCAGCCTGGCCAACATGATGAACCCTGTCTCTAGTAAAAATACAAAAATTAGCAAGGCGTGTTGGCAGGCATGTGTAATCTCAGATACTCAGGAGGCTGAGGCAGGAGAATCACTTGAACCCAGGAGACAGAGGTTGCAGTAAGCCAAGATCATACCACTGCACTATAGCCTTGGTGATGGAGACTCTGTCTCAAAACAAAACAAAAAAAAGGTTTGTGCTTTCCTTACATAAGAGTACATCTTCTGACTATAAAAATCCTGGAAGAAAACCTAGGAAATACTCTTCTGGAGATCATATTTGTCAATTAATTTATGGCTAAGTCCTCAAAAGCAATTGCAAGAATAACAAAAATTGACAAGTGTGATCTAATTTAGCTAAATAGCTTCTGCACAGCATGAGAAACTATCACGGGATTAAACAGACAGCCTAAAAGAATGGAAGAAAATATTCACAAAGTATGGATATAGCAAATGCCTATTATCCAGAATCCATAAGAGACCTAAACAAATCAACAAGCCAAAAATAATTAAGACCATTAAAAATGGGCAAAGGACATGAACAGACAGTTCTCAAAATAACACACGTAAGTGGCCAACAAACATTAACAAATGCTTACCATTGCTAATCATCAGAAAAATGCCAAACAAAACATCAATGAGATACCATTTCACACCAGTCACAATGACTTTTGTTAAAAACAAATAATAAATAAAAACTTAAAAAAGGATATTGGGATAGGCTGTGGAGAAAAGGGAACACAAACCGTTTGTGGCAATGTAAATTAATTCAGCTACTATGGACAGCAGTTTGGAAATTAAGAACTAAGAATGACTGTTGGATGCAGCAACCCCATTACTATACTAGGGGTATACCGAAAGGACAATAAATCATTGTAACAAAAAGATGTATACACATGTATGTTCATTGCAGCACTATTCACAATAGCAAAGATGTGGAGTCAATCCAGGTACATCCAAGGTAGATTGAAAATCCAAGGTAGATTGGAAAATTCTATATATACCATGGAATACTATGCAGCCATGAAAAGAACAAAATCACGTCATTTGCAGCAACATGAATACAGCTGGAATCCACTCTCCTAAGCAAACCAACGCAGAAACAGAAACCAAATATCTCATGTTTTCACTCATGTGGGAGCTACATATTGGGTGCACATTGTCATAAAGGTGGGAATAATAGACACTGGGAAATAAGAACGGGGAGGGACAGAGTGGGCCAGGGTTGAAAAACTACTTCTTGGGTCCTATGCTCACAACCTGTGTGATGGGTTTAATTGTACTGCAAACCTCGGTATCCCTCAATATGCCTTTGGAAGAAACTTACAGAGGTACCACGTTAATTTAGAATACAAACTAGAAAAAAAAAGAAAAGTTTACTATAAGTAGAGAACAGAAATTTCTTTTTAAGATAAAATTTATTGAAGTAAAAAATGGATTAAACTTTTATAAAGGGCAGACTTTTCTAAGAATTTCAAAGCAATGCATTCATTGCAAAAGATGGCTTTAATTACTTAATCTTTTTTTTTTTTTTTTTTTTTTTTTGTGAGACAGGGTCTCACTCTGTCACCAGGCTGGAGTGCAGTGATGCAGTCTTGGCTCACTGCAACCTCCACCTCCTGGCTTCAAGCAATTCTCCTGCCTTAGTATCCCAAGTAGCTGGGACTACAGGTGCACATCACCACGCCCAGCTAATTTTTGTATTTTTAGTAGAGATGGGGTTTCCCCATGTTGGCCAGGATGGTCACGATCTCCTGACCTTGTGATCTGCTTGCTTTGGCCTCCCCAAGTGCTGGGATTACAGGTATGAGCCACCATGCCTGGCCATTGTTTAACCTTTGTACTAATAAAACACTACCTTTCTAAAATCATGTATATGCAATAGATTAGTGTTAACTGCATTTTTGTCAGATTACTCTAAACAGCATTACACATATACATCCTCTGTTATCTAAACTTAAAATAAGTAGAAATTTTATTTTATTTATGTGATTATTTTTCTATTTAAGCAAACTTCAAGTTATGTCTAGTCACTAAAAATACTAAAGGCCACATTTTGTAAGTGATACATGATTTTCATGATAATGTTTCTTGTTTAATTTAGACATTACTATTATTTTTACTTATTTTAGATGGGGCCGGACTGTGTAGAATAAATAATTAGAGAAACAAAGAGAAGTACGATGACAAAATTTATTAATTAAATTTAGGTTTATTTTAGAAATAAAGTGTAAATAGCAAATGGCATTCCTTTTCATTCTTGGGTTAGTAGATACTACATCAATATTTTTTTTCTTACACACATCTAATGAAAGATGTGAAAACAAAAACTTTCACAGAGAAGACTGTACTTATGCACCATAAATTCATCATGTTCCAAAGCTTAAACAGTTCCCAAGATGTCTGTGCATCTCTTTTTCATTGGCTCTACACTTTCTTAAGTTTTGCCATCCTCATGGAACTGTCAGCCAGCACACTGAAACGATTCTCAGAAAACAAAAGCATCATCAAGTTCTCAGGGTTTTGGTAGAGATTGAAGGCCAACAGACCTAAGACTCATTCAGAAATACTTAGCTGAGCAATAACCCTTCATAAGCAGTCACTTGACAGGTGACATTTTAAATCTCCTCTAATTAACTGTGTCATTGGCTTACACTTGTTCTCAGGAAAAGTTCCAAATTTTTCACCATGAAATAAAAACACCCATGTCAATGTGATTCTTGTCAAGTTACTCAGTCTTGTTTCTCACCGCTTACTGCACTCTGCCCTTTGCTCTAGCACCAAACTGGATGGAGTGGAACTCTGCAGGGCTCTTCCTTACCTCAGGCTCTTTGCCTTTGCCTCTTTCCTCTATCTGGGAAGCTTTTCCTTGTCCTTCAGGTATCAACCTATGTTATCTCCTCCACCAGAAAGCCCATGATATTGACATAAAAGTGGGTAGATGTCCCTTCTCTGTGTTCCAGTAGTGCCCTGCTCTATATCTGTCATGGTATATATGACTCTATATAGACATTGCCTGCCTGTCTGTTTTTTAGATTATAGCTTATGACTGTTGAGAGGTGGACCATGCCATCTTCATCTTGTAATTCCACTGCTGGTTCGAGTACCTTAGCATGTGGCTGTTGATTACATGAATGAAGCCTGAAAAAGCTCTGATATTTAAACACAATTAGAATTAATGCCATGTGTAAATTATTAAATAGTAATTTTGTATTGTAAATGTACATACATATTTCTCGTTCTTATTAACTCTGATAAAGTTCTCAAGTCTTTAGTTTTTAAACTCACACTTAGTTAACTGAAGTGTTTTAGGTAAAGAACAAAATTCTTTATTTTTCTTTCCAGCTGTTGCTGTATTGGACACTTGCTCCCATCTACTTTCTTCTCTGGAATCCACGGGTAAGCCACATCTAATGAAGAGAATATTTAACCATAAAGTCTTAAGGAAAAATTGTATGATGATTTAAAAGATTATAAAACTTTATCACTGGGCTATTTACACATTTTAATTGTTTCTCATAAAATATATAACATTCCAATATTTACTGAAGTAGGATATTTTTGTATCATATGTATGATTATAATTTATAGGGTATTTTAAATGATGTTTTTTGGCCTCCTTAAGTTTTAAGTGGATCTTGCAAATGAAAACCAGTATTATTGAGTTTGACATACTCAAATTGCCCAAATGTCAGCTGTTTAAACAACCAAGTCATCATTGATACTTTAGTAAAGGTTAGTAAAGGTCATCGAAGGCTTATTTGCATTTTACAGTTTTTATTACTTAGGAGACTTAAGGAGTACCTACCAGGTTTGTCCATGCTAATGTTACAATTTTCTTTTAGTAGTTCAACCGTATTTTGTATGGAGATACTTTGAGGCTCTGTAAATATCTGGTTACTCCTCAGAACCCACTAGATTTAGCATTTCATGGATGACTTGTGTTTGAACAATTATTACTATGATGGTTACCAGATGATTATTTTCTTATTATCTTCTTTGTTCTACATGGAGAAATAAAACCAATAAATAAGGGAGAAGGAAAGCTCATGATTCTGATGCTCCAATTCCCCAAGATTAGGCCAGTAGTAGACATTCCAAGCTGACTTTATGTCTCTTTGATTTGTCTCCATTACTCTGTCGGCACTTTTTTACTTTGTGGCAGAAGATGTTCTAAGCTCAGCTTGTATTTTCTCTGCGCTAGCTCTGGAATGAGTAATTTTTTTTAGAAGCAGAGGTGGAGCCACTGAGGAAGCACAGGTGAGCCCTCCCCAGTGTGTACTCACTGGTCCCCAACAGAAGAACCACTGCCACATCCACTGAGGTACCAAGAAACTAGCAAAGGGCCTTCTGGCTGTCTGGGGAGAGTCCTCATGTGGTCCCTGGCTGTCTCAGAGGTTCTGGATTAGTCTTCCTGTAGCCTCTGTGTTGTGTCTTTAGATCGGGGCTCTGTGGGAAGGGCCCTGAGAGACCCAACAGCACAGCGTGCCTTATCTGCTAAATGTCCCTCCCTTCCTCACACTCTGACACTCAGGAATAGGGTAGATGGTGTGTCCAGGCAGTGTCAGGCCATCTCACTTTCTCCTTTGAGACGGGCCCAGAGGGCCTTTGGGGTGAGTGTGGAGCTGGGAACCTGGAGCCTGAGGCCAACTGTCTCTCCCTGTGTCTTGGAGGAAAGGCCATGTCCCAAAAAAACCCCCAGGGCCTGACCTCTGGGCACACATGCAGGGAGGGAGGGTCTATGAGCTGAGGGGGACATTGTAATGAGACTTTGAGCCCCGTTGCTCCGGGGCCTGGTCAGTGGACCATGGTCAGAGATGACCTGGTCATCAGGACCTAGTCATTTGGGACCTGATCAGCAGGGGCCTGGTTAGTGGCGGCCTCCTCAGTAAAGGCCTCATCAGTGGGGACCTGGTGACCTAGCCATAGGAAGCCTGGTCAGTGGGGGAACCTAGTCAGTGGTGGCTTTATTAGTGGGGCCTGATCTGTTGGAACATAAACAATGAAAAACTGGTTGGTGGGGCATACACAATATATCACTGGCCTGGTCAGTGTGGGGCCTTAGTGGCTTGGAGGCTGGTCAGTGAGGGCCTGGTCAGAGGGGGCTCGGTCAGCTGGGTACTCGTTCATGGAGAATTGTTCAGTGGGGGGTCGGGTGAGCAGCAACCTGGTAAATTGTGGTCTTGTCAGTGGGAACCCGGTCTTGTCAATGGGGACCAGGTCAGTGGAAAATTGGTCAGTGGGGTCTGGCCCATGAGGCCTATTAAGTGTGGGCCTGGTTAGGAAGACATGGTCAGTGGGGACTTGATCAGTGGGACCTGGTCAATGGAGGAGTGGTCATTAGGGGCCTCATCACTCATCACTGGGAACCTGGTCAGGGGCAGTTGGTCAGTAACTGGCCTGCTGGCCACTATGTGACCTCAGGCAGGGGGGTTGTCTGTGGAGGCTCCTTGCCTCCATCTGCAGGGAAAGTGAGTTGGGGCACCCTGGAGGGTGGCTGGAAAGAGAAGGTGAGAAGATGTGTTGAATCCAATACTGCTTGGCAGACCTACAACTTTACAAATGACCTGTGTTCCACCTAGAGAGGGTGCCAGGCCTCTCAGCATTATGCAGTGCCCCTCCTCTGTCTGCATCCCCAGGACCACCATGGGTGGGGAGGGTAGAGATTGGGGAGCAACTATAGAGGCTCTAATGCTCTAAGGTGACAGTGATGAGGACCTGGGTGCACCCATGAGTGGAGAAGCTAGGCCTGTCCAGAGAAGCAAGACACATACACACACACACACACACACACACACACACACACACAGGCACACATGCATACACAAATACATTGCATACACACATGTCAGTTCAGGGGATAGAGGACACTGACTCTGGGCCCTGTTGACCCAAGCAGACTCCCATGGTTGTGGGTTGTGTCACCCCACAATGTCACTGTTGCTGAGTCCCCATCGCCTCTGTGTTGTGGAGCAGTTAGAGACACACAGCAGTGTCTGTGAGTAGCTCTGCGTGAAGGACCATTTTCTAGATGAGAGGCACATCTCAACACAGCTCACTGATCAGATTCAGGTGAGTGGGACCTGCTCTTTTCTCTTCCTCCTGGTTTGGGAAAAGTCACTATCAGGTGGATGGTTTTGGCCTCTGGGCAGCTACTGAGGGTAATCCCTGAACACTCACCAGCTGCCTGTTATGTGCTGACAGTCATCTCATTCATCCTCGCAGCAATTCCATTCTGCATCTTTTCTGATCACCTCCGTGACCACACAGGACAACCCCATCAGGGCCCTGTCACCAGGCCCAGTCTAGCTCCATGATAACCAAGACACAGGTCCAGAGACAATCATCCTACATTGTGCCTGCATCTGACCCCCCTTGGTAGGTAGTGACCAGCACTACATGGAAGAAGCCAGGGCAGCTAGCAGCCAGCTGCTCTGCAGCCCCAAATGGCTCCTGGGCCTTGGGAAGTCATTCATAAAGCGGAAGCTGGTCACTTTGAGGTCCCTGAAGGTAAGGGTGAACGTGCATCCTAACAGCCCTGGCAGCCAGCAGCATGCCATACATATTCTCACCCAACGTGTGTGACAGAGGTCCCCTCCTGGGGCACAAGTCCCATACCTAAAGCATCCTGTCCCAGTCGGACCTCATCCTGAGCCCTGGGAGGGGAGGGGCACCATGGGCCCCCCTGCAGCAGCCAGGATTACCACCCATGGGACTCGGCCTTCTGTGGCCCTGGCCAGACTTAGAATTTGGCCCAAGACAAACTTACTCGGAGCAGCTTCTCAGTACCTGGGGCCTGTGCATGCCAGGCAAGGCCAAGCTGGCTCAAAGAGCAACCAGCCACCTCTGCAAGGGTGTGCCAGGAGCAGATGGAGCAGTCACCAACCTCACCCACTCAAGGAAATAGGGATGGCCAGTTTACCACAGTCTGAGTGACCACCACCTGACAGCTGATGGAGTGCAGGCCTGAGGAAAAGCAGATGGCACTGGGGCTCCACCTCCAGGGCAGAAAAAATGATTTACCCTGACTGGCAGAGAGTCACGTTGGTGGCTGGTCCACTGGCTCCTGGCACACCCTTGCAGAGGTGGGTGGTTGCTCTTTGAGCCAGCTTGGCTTTGCCTGGCATGCACAGGCCTCAGTGCAACAAATGTGCTGCAAATGGAGCCACATAGAGGAAATGAGCAGCAGGCTCAGAACTGGGGTGTGTGCCGCCTTTGGGGCTCTAGTCCAAGCATCGGGGCTTCTACAGCACTGTGGGCTTCTCGGGTGCCAAGAGGCAGACCACAGGCCATCTTGAGGAGGACTCTGGTAAGAGCTTCCTTGTGTATGTGGATGATGTCCAGAATGTTGGCCTGGTGTCCCTGAGACAGCACTAACAGGTCCATGACTGGGTCCAGATCCTGCCTGGGCTGATGGGCAAAGAGCTCACTGACAGTGTGGAAGGCATCTATGGTGAAGTGGATCTATGTTCAAGTGCAGAAAGGGCCCAATCTTGTAGATGAACCACACAGCCAGCTTCTGGATGCAGGTGCAGTGCCACATTTTTTGTCACTTCCTGATGTGCCCCACCAGCACTGAAGAGATAGCCTGGAGACAGGGCAAGAGGAAGGCTGAGAAGGATGAGATGGTGAGTGCCAGATTCTTCCTGGCCCTGAGCCCACCCCCAGTGTGACACTCAACTTTTAGGAGTGGAAGAGCAAGATTGACGGCTTCAAGTGCTTCACCAAGAAGATGGACAACAGGGCACTCAGCTCAACTTCACAGCCAATGAGTGGTGGCAGGCTTTGAGAAAGAGCATCAGAAGCCTGACAGTTCTTCTTCAGCCTCAGCCAGGCCTTGGAGCTGGACCAGGCCATCCACTTCAGTATAGATGCCTCCCACTCTGTCAGTGAGCTCTTTGCCAGTCAGTCCAGGAAGGACCTGGACCCAGCCATGGACCTGTTAGTGCTGTCTCAGGGACACCAGACCAACATCCTGGACATCATCCACATACACAAGGAAGCTCTTACCAAAGTCATGGAGAGCAGGCAACATGTGGCAGAAGGAAAGACAGAGGTGCAGAGGCTGATGACGTCAGAATCACAGGAACAGGATTTCTTTGGCCACTTTGGCTGAAATTCACCACTTCCATCCAATTCCAGTGAGAGACATGGACTCACAGATGCAGCATTTCTTGCAACAAGAGATACTACTTTTTCAAAAAGTCACCCAGGAATTGATAGTGTTGAATGCCTCGATACTCGATCGTGGACGGTTTCCAGTTCAAGGATACTTTCTACAGCAGAATAATAACACTAGCAAAGAGCTAGTACAAGGATGGTTTTGTGCTCAACTGAAATCCAGCTGAATACAGAATTGTATAGGAAACAGTTAATATGGTGATAGAATAGAAACAGTAGCAATCGTGAACTAAATCATACTATGAATGCCTAAACTACTGCTGTAACTTTTGGAAAAATGATAATACCACTTTATTGCTTTTCGAAGTATGAATATTTTAGTGTATATGCTCTAGACTTCAAACTCTATAAAGAGTCTCAAAGAAGTTGGCTGGATAAAGCCTGCTGTGGATGTCTTTATATTCAAAGATTGATGATGCAATTTGAATATGTGTCCCCACCGAATCTCATGTTGAATTATATTTCCTAATGTGGAAGGTGGATCCTGGTATAAGGTGATTGAATTATGAAGGCAAATTTCTCATGAATGGTTCAGCACCCTCCCCTTGTACCATCCTCACAATAATGAGTGACTTCTCATGAGATGTAGTCACTGAAATCTCTATATCACCTCCCCACTCTCCGTGTTTTCCCCTTGCCATGTGAGACAATTGATTCTTTCTTCGCCTTCCATGATTATTGAAAGATTTCTGAGGCCTAGAAGCAGAAGCACTGTGCTTAGAACCATGAGCCAATTAAACCTCTTTTTCAAAATAAATCATACAGAAAATGGCAAATGAGGACTGGAGCGTTGCTTTAAAGATACTTGGAAATGTGGAAGCAGCTTTGGAACCAGGTAATGGACGGAGGGTGGAAGACTTTGTAGGGCTCAAAAGAAGACAGATGAGAAAACTTTTGGACTATCTTAGAGTCTGGTTCAATGGTTGTGACAAAAATCCTGACAGAAACATGAACAGTGAAGGCCAGGCTGAGGAGGTCTTAGAGAGAAATAAGAAGCTTTCTGGAAAATGTCTTCCTTTTGGATATGGAAAGCTTACACAATGCCTGCTTTTTATTTCAGAGACTCATAGGCAAAAGAGACTGTAGCCTTGACCCAGATGAGACTTTGGACTTTGTAACTTTGAGTTAATCCTGAAATGAGTTAAGACTTTGGGAGACTGCTGGCAAGACATGTTTGTATTTTGCAATGTGAGAAGGACATGAGATTCATCGGGTCAAGGACAGAATAATACGGTTTTTGTCAATGTCCCTACCAAAACTCATGTGGAATTATATTTTGTAATGTTACAGGCAAGGTCTAGGTGGAAAAAGATTTAGTCATAAAATGGTGCAGGTAGATACTTCACAAATGATAAAGAACCATCACCTTGATGCTATCCTCCTGATAATGAGTGAGTTCCCATGAGATCTGGTTGTTTAACAGATCTCATCCTCCTGCTCCTGCTTTAGGAGACATCTCATTGTCACTTGGCTTTCTGATATAATGAGGAGGCTTCCTGATTCCTCCCAGAAACAGAAGACACTATACTTCCTTCACAGCTTGCAGAACCATGAGTCAATTACACCTCTTTTATTTACAATAATACAGAAAAGTAGAACTGCAGAGAGGAGCTGTGAAATGCCTTCAAGGCCTTTTTCCCTTTGTTTTGGCTATTAGCACAGGGCTTCTTTATATGCAAATTTTTGAAATCTTCTTGAATGTTTCCCCTTAAATGGGATTTTTGTTATTGCTACATAGCCAACCTGCTATACAGATTTCTGAAAAAGTAGAAGCAGGCTCAGTAGTGGGTAGCAAACAAAGATTGGAAGGGTTTGGAGGGATTAGATTATGACAGGGAGTGGGAGGGAGTGATTTAATCATGGATGGGTGGGGGTGGATGTGGAAGGGAAAAAGGGGTGGGTAGGGTGGGAGGGAGTAGACTGGCTGTACGGTGGTGGGAGGGTGGTGGGTAGTAGGAAGGGGTAGTAGACTGCTGCAGAGGCAGAGCCTCATGGAAAATCCCTACTAGGGAAGAGCACCTGTGGCTTTGCAGGTTTGAGCCCCAATGGCTGCTCTCATGGACTGGACTAGTGTTGAGTGCCTGTAGCTTTTCCACACGGAGGGTGAAAGCTGTTGGTGGGTCTATGTATCTGGGGTCTGGAGGGTGGTGGCCTCCTGCATGGGGGCTCCAAGTCCATATTTTCTTTCTGCACTGCCCTAGTAGAGGTTTCCCAAGAATGCTTCATCTGCAGCAGGCTTCTGCCTGGAAACAGTGGGAGTTGCGGGTGGGAGGCAGATCCTTCACCAATGGTTAGGCAACATCTTCTTGATGCTGTCTTCATGATAGTGTGTTCTCATGAGATCTGGTTATATAACAGGGGGTGGCACCTCTTTCCTCTCTCAGTATTTCTTCTACCCCTGCCATTTGAAACATCTCATTGCTCCTTGGCCTTCTGGTATGATTGGAAGGCTTCCTGATCTGATCCTCCCAGAAGCAGAAGCCACTGTGCTTCTTTTACAGCCTGCTGGACCATGAGCCAATTAAACCTCTTTTCTTTATGATCATGCAGAAAATTAGTACTATGAAGTGGAGCCATGAAATGCCTTCAAGGCCCTTTCCCCTTTGTCTTGGCAACCAGCACTCAGCTTCTTTTCATGCAAATATCTGAATCCTTCATGAACTTTCCTCCTGAAAATGGACTTTTCTGTTTTACCACATTGCCAGGCTGTGATAAAGATAGCTGACAATGTAGAACCAGGTTCAGAAGTGGGTAAAAGACAGAGGTCAGAAGAGTTGGGAAAGCTTAGAAGACAGCAAGATGAGGAAAATATTGGACCACTATAGAGAATTGTTAAATACTTGTGATAGGAAGGCTGACAAAAGTGTAAACACTGAAGTCCAGAACTAAAAGTTCTCAGATGAAAATGAGGAATTTCCTATGAACAAGAGACAAGATTACATTTGATTGGCCTTAGCAAAGAAGCTGGCTGCATGGGGACCCTGCCCTGGAGATCTGTGAAACTATGAACTTGGGGGTGATGATTTAGGATGTATCTGGTGAAATGAACATCTAGGCAGCATAGCACAAGAGGTGTCCTGCCTACATTGAACAGCTTGTGTTCTTATGGGTGACCTAAGAAGTGACTTCAAGTTGGAACTTCAAGTGGAGATCTAAAGTTTGGAAAATTTGGAGCCTGGCTAAGTGGTCAAAAAGAAAAGCCGATTTTGAGGGGGAAAATTCAAGAAGGCTTAGGGTATTTGTATAAAAAGGAACCCAGTGCAAAAAGCCAAGACAGTGGGAAACCAGCCTTGAAAGCATTTTAGAGATGTCTGCAGCAGCCCTTGCTGTCACAGGCCCTGGGGCCTAGGAGAAAAGAATGGTTTCCTAGGCCAGTCCCATGGCTCTGCTGCTGTGCTCAACCGCAGGACACTGCTGCCGGCATCCGTGCAGCTCCAGCACCAGCCATGGCTGAAAGATGCACAGGTACAGCTTGGGTCATTGCTTCAGAGGTGGCTCAAAGTCTTGATGGTTTCCATATAGTGTTAAGCCAGTAGGTGCACAGAGAAAGAGATTAGAGGCTTGGGAACTCCTGTCTAGACTCCAGAAGATGCACAGAAAATCCTGGATGTTCAGGAAGAAGCTTTTCCAAGAGGCAGAGCTTCATGGGGAACCTCTACTAGAGGAGCAAAGAAGGGACCTATAGGGTTGAAGCCCCCACACAGGGAGGCATCATTCTCTAAACCCCAGATTCATAGACCCATAAACAGCTTGCACCCTCAGTGTGGAAAAGCTATGGGCACTCAACAACAGCCCTGTCCATGAGAGACAGCCGCGGAGGCTGAACGCTGCAAAGCCACAGGTGCAGATCTGCCCAAGGCCTTGGGAGCTCAGCCCTCACAGCCCTGTGCCATGGATATGGGACAAGGATTCAAAAATGGCGATTTTGGAGCTGTAGCATTAAGTGACTGGCCTGCTGGGTTTTGGACACTTATGTATCCTATGAGTCACCCACTGCCTGTACAATCATTGTACCTTGGAAGTAGTAAACTTGCTTTATAATTCACTGGCTCATGGGCAGGAGGGACTGTAGACTTGTCTCAGATAAGACTCTGGGCTTTGTGCATTTGAGTAAATGCTGGAATGAGTTAAGATTTGAGAGACTCTAGGGAAAGCATCATTACATTTTGCAATGTGAGAAAGACATGAACTTTGGGGGACCAGAGACAGAATAATAGGTTTTGGCTCTCTGTCTCTACCAAAGCTCATGTGGAATGTTAATGCAAAATGTTAAAGGTGGGGGCTGATGGAAGGTGATTTAATCATGGTGGAGAGTGGAGGTTGGATGGTTGGGGGCACCGGGAGGGTGGGGGGGATTCTGGGGTGGAGAGGGTTGGAGGGAATCGGGGGTGGGGAGGGTTGGAGGAGATTGTGGTGGGGTTGGGGGTGAAAGGCAGGGGTGGGGGTGGATCCTTCACAAATGGTTAAACATCATCTCCTTAATGCTGTCCTTCTGATAGTGAGTTCTCTTCATGATTTTGGAGCTGTGAGATTGAATGAAAACTGACATACTGGATTTTGGATGTCCATTGGGCCTGTGGTCCCATTTGTGTTATTTTTCTTGGAAATTTCTTCCCTTTGGATTGAGAAAGTTTACCCAGTACCTGTACCATCATTGTACCTTGAAAGAAACAAACACCCTTTTAACTTCAGGGACTCATAGGCAGAAGAGACTGTAGCCTTGTCTCAGATGAGACTTGGAACTTTTTACATTTGAGTTAATGCAGGAAGGAGTTAAGCCTTTTGGAAACCTTTGAAAAGGCATGATTGTATTTTATTCTGTGAAAAGGATATGATACTTGGGGGGTCAAGGTCAGCATAATATGATTTGGCTGTGTGCCCCTGGAAAAACTCATGTGGAATTGTAATCCCAAATTTTGGAGATGGGGCCTGGTGGGAGATTATTTAATCATGGATGGGAGGGGTAGGGCTGGAAGAAAAAAGGGGTGGGTAGGGTGGGGAAGAATAGGCTGGCTGTAGGGCGGTGGGAGGGTGATGGATAGTAGGAAGGGGGAGTAGCCTGCTGCAGAGGCCAAGGCTCATGGAAAACTTCTACCAGGGCAGTGCACCTGTGGCTTTGCAGGCTTTAGCCTCCATGGCTGCTCTCATGGGCTGGGCTGGTGTTGAGAGCCTATCACTTTTCCATACTGAGGGTGTGAACTGTTGGTAGGTCTATGAATCTGGGGTCTCGAGGATGGTGGCCTCCTGCATAGTCAGTCAAAGCCCTTATTTTCCTTCTGCACTGCCATAGTACAGGATTCCCAAGAGCCTCTGCCTCTGCAGCAGGCTTCTGTCTGGAACACTAGGAGGTGGAGCTGTGTTGGGGGGTGGATCCTTCACCAATGGTTAAGCACCATCTTCTTGATGCTGACCTAGTGATAGTGAGTTCTCATGAGATCTGGTTATATAACAGAGTGGCACCTCTTTCCTCTCTCAGCCTTGCTCCTACTCCTGCCATATGAAATATTTCATTGCTGTTTTCCTATTGGTATGATTGGGAGTCTTCCTGAGTCCTCCCAGAAGCAGAAGCCACTATGCTTTCTTTACAGCCTGCAGAACCATGAACCAATTAAACCCCTTTTCATTATGATCATACAGAAAATAAAGTACTGCGAAGTGGAGCTATGAAATATCTTCAATGACATTTCCCCATCGTCTTGGCTATTAGCACTGGACTTCTTTTTAATGCAAATATCTGAAGCCTTCTTGAAGTTTCCCCCTGAAAATGGACTTCTTTTTCTTCTACATTGTCAGGCTGCAACAAAGATAGCTGAAAACGTAAAGCAGGTTCAGAAGTGGGTAACAGCCAGAGGTTGGAGAGTTTGGAGAGCTTGAAAGAAGACAGGAAGATGAAAGAAATTTTGGACCATCGTAGGCACTTGTTGAATAGTTGTGATTAAAAGGCTGGCAGAAGGATGGACAGTGAAGGCCAGGCTTACAAGGTCTCAGATGAAAATGAGGAAATTACTGGGAACAGGAGCCAAGGTTACTTTTGTTTTGCTGTAGCAAAGAACATGGCTGCAGGGCGACCTTGCCCTCGAGATCTGTGAAACTTTGAACTTGAGGGTGATGATTTAGTGCATATCTGGTGGAATGAACTTCTAGGCAGCATAGCACAAGGGGAATCCTGTCTGCATCAAACAGCCCGTGTTCTTGTGTGACCAAGGTTATGTGTGACTGAGGAAATGACCTCAAGTTGGAACTTATATTTAAATGACAAGCAGAGATCAAAAGTTTAGAACCATTTGCAGCCTGGCCAAGTGGTCAAAAAGAAAAGCTGATTTTCAGGGGGAAAATTCATGAAGGCTCCAGAAATTTGCATAAAATGGAGGCCAGTGCTAATAGCCAAGACAATGGGGGGGAAAAGCCTTGGAGGCATTTCAGAGATGGTTGCAGCAGCCCTTGGTGTCACAGACCCTGGGGCCTAGGAGAGAAGAATGGTTTCTGGGGCCAGCCCCATGGCCCTGCTGCTGTATGCAGCCTCAGGACACTGCTGCCTGCATCCCAGCAGCCGCAGCTCCTGCTCCGACCTTGGCTGAAAGATGCACAGGTACAGATTGCATCACTGCTTCAGAGGGTACAAGCTATAAGGCTTCACGGCTTCCACATAGTCTTAAGCCAGCAAGTCCATAGAGCACCAGCCCAGAGGCTTCAGAGTATTCATATAGATTTTGGAAGATGTATGAAAATGTCTGAGTGTCCAGACAGAAGGCTGCCAAAAAAGCAGAGCCTCCTGGGAAACCTCTACTAGGGCAGTGCAGAAGGAAAATATGGGGTTGGAGCCCCCACACTGGAGGCCACCATATGCAGACCCCAGATTCATAGACCCACCAAGAGCTTTGTACACTCTGTGCGTAAAAACTACAGGCACTCAACACCAGCACAGGCCATGAGGACAGCTGTGGGGACTGAAAACTGCAAAGACACAGGTGCAGATCTGCCCAAGGCCTTGGGAGTCCAGCCCTCATGCCCTTGTGCCCTGGATGTGGGACAAGGATTAAAAAAGGATGACTTTGGAGCTGTAAGTTTGAGTAACTGGCCTGCTGGGTTTTGGATTTTCCTGGGACCTGTAAGTCCCGTTTGTGTTTCGTTGTTCTCTCTGGCAAAAATCTTCCTTTAGGGTGGGAATTCTTACTCAATGCCTGGACAATCATACCTTGGAAATAGTTAACTTTCTTTGTATTTCAGAGGCTCAGGAACAGAAGGGACTGCATCTTTGTCTCAGATGAGACTTTGGGCTTCAGACATTGAAGTAAATGCTGGAATGAGTTAAGACCTTGGAGGTCTTAGCCAAGACGATGGGGAAAAGTCATTGAAGGCGTTTCATAGCTTCACTTCACAGTACTAATTTTCTGTATGATCATAACAAAAAGGGGTTTAATCGGCTGATGGTTCTGCAGGCTGTAAAAAAAAGCATAGTGGCTTGGGGAATTGTAAGTAAGGCATCACTGTATTTTGCAAAGTGAGAAGGACATGAGATTTGGGGAGGCAGGGACAGAATAATAAGATTCGGCTGTGTGTCGCTATGGAAACTCATGTGGAATTGTAATCAGAAATGTTAAAATTGGGGCCAGGTGGAAGGTGATTTAATCATGGAGGGCACTGGGTGTTGCAAGATGGAGATTGGGGAGGATGGGTGGATTATGCTGGCGGTGAGGGGTGAAAAGTGGGGGTGGGGGTATGATCCCTCACAAATAGTTAAACAGCATCTCCTTAATCCTTTCCTCATGATAGTGAGTTCTCGTGACGGTTTTGGAGCTGTGAGATTTAATGGATACTTGTCTCCTGGGTTTTGGACTTGCATTGGCCCTGTAATTCCATTTGTGTTATTTTCCTGGCAAACCCCTACCCTTTGGATTGAGAAAACTTACCCAATGCCTGTACCATCATTGTACCTTGAAAGAAAAGAACTCCCTTTTAAATTCAGGGACTTATAGGCAAAAGGGACTGTAGCCTTTTCTCAGGTGAGACGTGGAACTTTTTACATTCGAGTTAATGCTGAAATGACTTAAGACTTTTGGCAACTTTTGAAAAGACATGATTATATTTTACTCTGTGAGAAGGATAGGATATTTGGGGGATCAGGGTCAGAATAATATGGTTTAGCTGTGTGTCCCTACCTAAACTCACATGTAATTGTAATCCCGAATGTTGCAGGTGGGGCCTGGTGAGAGGTGACTTATTCATGGATGGGAGAGGGGTGGGGTTGGAAGTAAAAACAGGTGGGTAAGGTGGGGAGGAGTAGGCTGGCTGTAGGGTGGTGTGTAGCAGGAAGGGAGTAGACTGCCACAGAGGCAGAGGCTCATGGAAAACCTCTACTAAGGCAGTGCACCTGTGGTTTTGCACCTGTGGCTTTGCAGGGTTTAGCACCTGCTGCTGCTCTCATGGGCTGGGCTGGTGTTGAGTACCTGAAGCTTTTCCATACTGGGGGTGTGAGCTGTTGGTAAGTCCATGACTCTTGGGTCTGGAGGATGGAGGCGTGGGGGCTCCAAGCCCATATTTTCCTTCTGTACTGCCCTAGTAGAGGTTTTCCAAGGGGATCTGTCTCTGCCTCAGGCTTCTGCTTGGAAACAGTGGGTGGTGGATATGGGGAGGTGGGCAGATCCTTCACCAACAGTTAAGCACAATCTTCTTGATGCTGATCTCCTGATAGTGAGCTCTCATGAGATCTAGTTGTATAACAGGTTGTCTCACCTCTTTCCTCTCTCTGTCTTGCTTCTACTCCTGCCATATGAAATATTTCATTGCCGCTTGGCCTTCTGGTATAATTGGGAGGCTTTCTGAGTCCTCCTACAAGCAGAAACCACTATGCTTTCTTTACAGCCTGAAGAACTGTGAGTCAATTAGACCTCTTTTCTTTATGTAGATACAGAAAATTAATGCTGTGAAGTGAAGTTATGAAATGACTTCTAGGCGTTTCCCCCATTCTCTTGGCTATTAGCACTGAGCTTTTTTCAATGCAAATATTGGAGGCCATCTTGATGTTTCCCCTGATAATGGACTTTTCTTCTTTTACCATATTGCCAGGCTGCAACAAAGATAGCTGACAGTGTAGAAGCAGGTTCCAAATTGGGTAATGGCCAGAGGTTAGAGAGTTTGGAGAGCTTGGAAGAAGATAGCAAGATGAGGGAAAGTTTGGACCATTGCAGAGACTTGTTAAATAGTTATGATTAAAAGGCTGACAGAAGGATGGACACTGAAGGCCAGGCTTGTAAGGTCTCAGATGAAGATGAGGAACTTACTGGGAAAAGGAGTCAAGGTTTTTTTCTTTTGCCTTAGCAAAGTAATTGGCTACACAGTGACCATTCCCTGGAGATCTGTGAAACTGAACTTTAGGGTGATGATTTAGGGTGTATCTGGTGGAATGAACTTCTAAGCAGCAAAGCTGAAGGGTTGTCCGGCCTACGTCGAACAGCCTGTGCTCCTATGTGTGATGAAAGAAATTACCATAAGTTGGAACTTATATTTAAATGAGAAGCAGAGCTTCAACATTTGGAAAATTTGTAATCTGGACAAATGGTCAAAAAGAAAAGCTGATTTTCAGGGGGAAAATCAAGAAGCCTTCGGATATTTGCATAAAAAGGAGCCCAGTGCTAATAATTCAAGACAATGGGAAAAAGGCCTTGAAGGCGTTTCAGAGATCTTTGTAGCAGCCCTTGCTGTCACTGGCCCTGGGGTTTAGGAGAAAAGAATAGTTTCCTGGCCCAGCCCCATGGCTCCACTGCTGTGTGCAGCCTCAGGACACTGCTGCCTGCATCCTTGCAGCTCCTTTTCCAGCCCCAGCCATAGATGAAAGATGCACAGGTACAGCTTGCGTCACTGCTTCAGAGGATGCAAGCTCCAAGCCTTGGTGGCTTCCACATAGTGTTAAGCCAGCAGGTGCATAAAGCACAGGACTAGAAGCTTCAGAGCCTTGGTCTGGACTCCAGAGTATATATCAGAAATCCTGAGTGTCTAGCCAGAAGCTTTTCCAAGAGGCAGAGCCTCATGGTAAACCTCTACTCGGGCAGTACAAAAGGAAAATATAGGGTTGGAGTCCCCATACAGGGAGGCACCATTTTCCAGACCCCAGTATCATAGACCCACCAGCTGCTTGCACCCTTAGTGTTGAAAAGCTACAGGCACTCAACACCAGCCTAGCCAATGACGGCAGCTGTAGGGGGGAGATTCTGCAATGCCACATGTGCAGAGCTGCCCAAGGCCTTGGGATCCCAGCCATCACAAAACCCTGTGCTCTGGATGTGGACATAGATTCCAAAAAGATGATTTGAAGCTGTATGATGGAATGCCTGGCCTGCTGGGTTTTTGACTTGCAGGGGGTGTGTAAGTCCCATCTGTGTTTTGTGCTTCTTTCTGGGAAATTTCTTCTATTTGGCTTGGAATGCTTACCCAATGCCTGTACAATCATTGTAACTTGGAAGTGGTTAACTTGCTTTGTATTTCAGAGGCTCAGGCCAGAAGATATGGCAGCCTTGTCTCAGAGGAGACTTTGGCCTTTGGACATTTGAGTAAATGCTGGGATGAGTTAAGATTTGGGGGACTCTAGGGAAGGCCTCATTGCATTTTGCAATGTGAGAAAGACATGAACTTTGGGGGACCAGGGACAGAATAATATGTTTTGGCTCTGTCTCTACCAAAACTCATGTAGAATTTTAATGGGAAATGTTAAAGGTGGGGGCTGGTGGAAGGTGAGTTAATCATGTTGAAGAGTGGAGGTTAGATGGTTGGGGGGTGGGGAGGGTTGGGGGGATTAAGGGGTGGGGAGGGTTGGGGGCGATTGTGGTGGGGTTGGGGTGAAAGGCAGGGGTAGGGGGTAGATCCTTCACAAATGGACATTTGAGTAAATGCTGGAATGAGTTCAGACATTGGGGGACTGTAGAGAATGCATCATTGTATTTTGCAGTATGAGAAGGATGTGAGATTGGGGGGCCAAAGGGAGAATAATACGATTTGGCTCTGTGTCCCTACCAAAACTCATGTGGAATTATAATGGGGAATGTTAAGTGTGGGGCTTGGTAGAAGGTGATTTAATCATGGTAGAGAATGGGGGTTGGAAGGGGGATGTGGGAGAATGGAGGTTCATGGTGTGGGTGAGGGTGAAACATGGGGATGGGTGTCAGATCCTTCACAAATGGTTAAATACTATCTCCTTAATGCAGTCTGTGTGACAGTGAGTTCTTGTGATAAATGAATGCTGTCCTGCTGGGTTTTGGAGTCGGATTGGGCCTGTGTCCCATTTGTGTTATTTTTCTAGGAAACCCTTCCCTTTGGTTTAAGAAAGCCTACCCAGTGCCTGTGCCATCATTGTAACTTGAAAGAAAAGAATTGTCTTTTACATTCAGGGACTCATAGGCAGAAGGGATTGTAGCCTTGTCTTGGATGAGACTTGAACTTACTACATTTGAGTTACTGCTGGAATGAGTTAAGACTTTTTGAAACTTTTGAAAAGGCATGTTTGTATTTTTCTGTGTGAGAAGGACATGAGATGTGGGGGTGTCAGGGTCAGGATAATATGGTTTGGCTGTGTTTCCCTACAAAAACTCATGGGGAATTGTATTCCTGACAGTTGTAGGTTGGGCCTGCTGGGAGGTGATTTAATCACAAACGGGAGGTTGGTAGGGGTGGAAGGGAAAACAAATGGGTAGGATGGGGAGGAGTAGGCTGGCAGTAGGGTGGTGAGAGGTTCGTGGGCAGTATTAAGGGGGAGTAGCCTGCTGCAGAGGCAAAGCCTCAAGGAAAACCTCCACCAGGGCAGTGCACCTATGGCTTTGCTGGGTGTAGCCCCCATGGCTGACCTCATAGGCTGGGCTGTTATTGAGTGGCTGTAGCTTTTCCATACTGAGAGTGCAAGCTGTTGGTGAGTCTATGAATCTGGGGTCTGAGGATGGTAACCTCCTGTGTGGGGCCTCCAAGCCCATATACTTTTTCTGCTCTGCCCTATTAGAGGTTTTCCTAGTGGCTCTGCCTCTTCCTCAGGCTTCTGCCTGGAAACAGTGAGGGGTGTGGGTGGTAGGGGGCAGAACTTTCACCAATGATTAAGCAACATCTTCTTGATACTGACCTTGTGATAGTGAGTTCTCAGGAAATCTGGTTGTATAACAGGGTTATACAACGTGTGGCACCTTTTTCCTCTCTCTGTTTTGTTTCTACTTCTGCCATATAAAACATCCCATTGCTGCTTGGTCTTCTGGTATGATTGGGAGGCTTCCTGAGTCCTCCCAGAAGCAGAAGCCTCTATGATTTATTTAAAGCTTGCAGAACCATGAGCCAGTTCAACCTCTTTTCTTTCTGATTATACAGAAAAATAATGCCATAAAGTGGAACTATGAAATGCCTTCAAGGCCTTTTTCCTATTCTCTTGGCAATCAGCACTCAGCTTCTTTTCAGGCAAATGTCTGAAGCCTGCGTTAATTTTTCTCCTGAAATGGACTTTTCTTCTTTTACCACATTGCCAGGCTGTGACAAACGTAGCTGAAAATGTAGAAGCAGGTTGAGAAGTGTGTAATGGCCAGAGGTTGGAGAGTTTGGAGGTCTTGGAAGAAGACAGGAAGATGAGGAAAAGTTTGGATCAGTGTAGAGACTTGTTAAATAGTTATAATTAAAAAGGTGACAGAAGGATGGACAGTGATCACCAGGCTTAGAAGGTCTCACATGAAAATGAGGAGCTTGCTGGGAACAGGAGTCAAGGTCACTTTTGTTTTTTCCTTAGCAAAGAATGTTGCTGCACGATGCCCCTAACCTGGAGACCTGTGAAATTTTGAACATCAGGGTGATAATTTAGAGTGTATTTGGTGGAATGAAATTTTAGGCAGCAAAGCTTAAGAGGTTTCCTGTCTGTGTCGAACAGCCTGTGGTCCTATATGTGACCAAAGAAATGACCTCAAGGTGAAACTTGTATTTAAATGAGAAGGAGAGCTTAAAAGTTTGGATAATTTGAAGCCTGGCCAAGTGGCCAAAAAGAAAAGCTGATTATCAGTGGGAAAGTTCAAAAAGTCTTCAGAAATGTGCATAAAAAGGAGTTCAGTGCTAATAGCCAATACAATATTAAAAAGGTCTTGAAGGCATTTCAGAGACTTTTGCAGCAGCCCTTGCTATCACAGGCCCTGAGGCCTGGGAGAAAAGAATGGTTTCCTTCTCCAGCCCCATGGCCCCACTGCTATGTCCAACCTCAGGACACTGCTGGCTGCATTCCTGAAGCTCCAGCTCCAGCCTTGGCTGAAAGATGCACAGGTACTGCTTGCATCACTGCTTCAGGGGTGCAAGCTCCAAGGCTTGGTGGTTTCCACATAGTGTTAAGCCAGCAGCTGCACACAGCACAAAACTAGACGCTTGCAAGCCTTTGTCTAGACTCCAGAGTATGCACGGAAGAACCTGGGTGTTCACACAGAATCTTTTCCAAGAGGCAGAGCCTCATGGGAAACTTTTACTAGGGCAGTACAGAAGGAGAATTTAGGGCTGGAGTCCCTAAATATGGAGGCACCGTTCTCCAGACTCCAGATTCATAGACTCACCAACAGCTGGCACCCTTAGTATGGAAATGCTACAGGCACTCAACATCAGCCCAGCCCATGAGGGCAGCTGTGGGGTATAGACCCTGCACAGCCACAGGTGCAGAGCTACCCAAGGCCTTGGAAGCCCAGGCATCACACACCTGTGCTCTAGATGTGAGATGTAGATTCAGAAAAGATGATTTGGAGCTGTAGGATTCAATGACTGGCCTGCTGGGTTTTTGACTTGCATGGGGTCTGTAAGTCTTTGTACATTTCAGTAAATGCTGGAATGAGTTAAGTCATTGGGGGACAGTAGAGAAATCATCAGTGTATTTTGCAGTGTGACAAGGATACAAGATTTGGGGAGCAAGAGCCAGAATAATATGATTTGATTCTGTGTCCCTACCAATGTTCATGTGGAATTGTAGTGGGGAATGTTAAAGGTGGGACCTGGTGGGAGGTGATTTAATCATGGAGAAGAGTGGGTGTTGGAGGTAGGGGTGTGGGGAGAATGGGAGAGATTATTTTGTGGGAGGGAGTGAAAGGTGAGGGTGGGGGGCAGATTCTTCACAAATGAGTAAACTCTATCTCCTTAATGCTGTCCGCACGACAGTGAGTTCTCTTGATGATTTTGGAGCTGTGAGATTGAGTGAATACTGTCTTGCTGGGTTTTGGACTTGCATTTGTGTTATTTTTCTGGGCAACTTCTTCCCTTTGGATTGAGAAACCTTATCCAATACCTGTTCTACCTTGAAGGAAAAGAAATCCCTTTTAAATTCAGGGACTCATTGGCAGAAGGGACTGTAACCTTGTCTCAGATGAGATTTTGAAATTTTTACATTCGGAATGAGTTAAGACTTTTAGAAACTTTTGAAAAGGCATGATTGTGTTTTGCTCTGTGAGAAGGACATGAGGTTCTGGGGAATCAGGGTCAGAATAATATGAGTTGGCTGTGTGTCCCTATAAAACTCACATGTCATCCTTAATGTTGGAGGTGGGCCAGGTGGGAGGTGACTTAATCTTGGATGGGAGGGGGTTGGGGTGGAAGGAAAAGGAGGGATAGTGTGGGGAGGAGTAGGTTGTCAGTAGGGTGGTGGGAAGGTGGGAGTAACCTGCTGCAGAGGCAGAGGCTCATGGGAAACCTCTACCAGGAGAGTGCACCTGTGGCTTTGCAGGGTGTAGCCCCCATGGCTGATCTCATGGGCTGGGTTGGTGTTGAGTGCCTGTAGCTTTTCCATACTGAGAGTGTGAGCTGTTGGTGGGCTTATTAATCTGGAGTCTGGAGGATCGTGGCCTCTTGTGTGGGGGCTCAAAGCCTATATTTTCTTTCTGCGCTGCCATAGTGGAAGTTTCATAAGAGGTTCTGCCTCTGCAGGAGGCTTCTGCCTGGAAGCAGTGGGCAGTGGTGTGGTTGGAGAATCCTTCACCATTGGTTAGTCTTCTTGATGCTGATCTCCTGATAGTGAGTTCTCATGTGATCTGGTTGTCTAACAGGATGTCACACCTCTTTCCCCTCTCTGTCTTGCTCCTACTCCTGCCATATGAAACATCTCATTGCCTCTTGGTCTTCTGATATGGTTAGGAGGGGCCTGATCAGTGTGGGCCTGCTCAGTGGACCTAGTCAGTTGGGACTTGTCAGTGAGGCCTATTTAGTGGGGGGTGGTCAGCAGGGGTCTGCTTAGAGCGGGTCTCATTAGAGGGATCTAGTAGTGTATGTCTTGGTGAGTGGGTTGATAGTGGTAGACAAATGTTTGGTGTCTGGTCAGTGCCAATCTGGGCTGTGGGACTTGGTCAGTGGAGACCTTGGGACCGAGTCAGCAGAGACGCTTGTCAGTGGGGCCCTGGTCAGGGCAGGCTGGTCCGTGGAACTTAATCAGTGGGGGCCTGGTCAGAGAGGACTTGATCATTGGTGGCTTTTGTAGCACTGGTCTACGGGGTGACCTGGTCAGCGGGGATCTGAGCAGTGTGTGCCTGTTCAGTGGGGCGTAGTCATTAGGGTCCCAGTCAGGGGCATCTTGTCACCTCAGTCCTGGTTAGCAGGGGCCTGGTCACTGGCTGCCTATTCCCTGCAGGCCTGGTCAGTGGGGCTTCGTCTGTGGGACCAGACGATGAGGTCATGATCGGCGGAACCTGATCAGTGAGGCCTTGTCAGTAAGGACCTCGTCAGTGAGGCCTTGCCAGTGAGGCCTTGTCAGTAAGGTCCTCGTCAGTGGAGTCCTGGTCATTGTGGGCCTGGCAGCGGGAATCTAGTTAGTGAGGCCTGGTGATGGGGCTCTAATCAGTGAGGGTGTGGTCAGGGAGGAAGTGATATGCTGGATCTGGTCACCAGGGACCTGGTCAGTGGGGGCTGCTGAGTACTGCTGGGAGATGTCAGGGGAAATGCATGTTATCGAGGAGCCTGTGGACAGCTGGGGTGGCCCAGTGGTGTTCAGTGGCCCAGTCAAAACTGGACAAAGCAGGTGTTTGGATGGACCTGGGAGATCTTGCTCAGAGATTCTGACAGGACAAAGGTAAAGGAAGGGCCAGAGTGGTCGGAGAGATAGTCACAGTCTATGGTCTGCACAGGATGGAGGAGGCCAGGGAACAGGCAGGTTGGGCAGCTTGGTTTCAGGGAGAGGCAGGTGCATGCTGGGAGGTCAGACCCTATGAGGGTTGTGGGGGCGTCAGGTGGTGTGGGCTCCAGGTGCACCCTCAGCGCACTGGGCAGGTCTTGGCCCAGGCTCCCTGGACCTTGGCCGGGTGATGTGGTCACTTGCTGGGAGACTGTTGTCAGGTGCTGGCCACCCACCCTGGGTAGCACTGTCCCATCTCAGGACTGGACTTCCTCAGATACTGTAGAGAGCACAGCCTCCAGCCCAGGAGGGGCAGCCCCTTGGTGCAGCCTGAGCTCTCCATGGGCCTGGAGCATCCCCTGCCAGCCCTGCACTCCCTCTTCTCCCAGGTCCCACTTTTCCAGGGTCAGCCAGTGGGGAGGCCCCTTCCTCACTTCCCTATGTGTCTCCTGGGCTGAAACTTGCAGTGCACTGGGACAGGGATGAGGCTTCCCTAAGGCCCATTTAGGGAGAGGACTGGCTCCCAGCCTGGCACAGGTCCTCAGCTCTGCCTTGGTTGCCTTAGAATGAGATGTATCAGTACCTTTACCTGAAGGTAAAGGTAGGAGACTGTCCCTGCTGTTGGGAGGCTGGTCTAGGGATGGAGGACTTCACAGGTCCTCCCAGTCTGTCAGGCCTGGGCAGCACTGTCCTGTTTTAGGACTCAGAAAGTCCAGTTCTGGGATGGGACGGTGCTGCCCAGGGAGGGTGGCCAGGGTCTGACAGCAGTCCCCCAGGGAGTGACCACATCACCCAGCCGGGGTCCAGGGAGCCTGGCCTGAGACTTGCCCTGTGCACTGAGGGTGCACCTGGAGCCCACTCCACCTGATGCCCCCACAGCCCTCACAGGTCCTGACCTCCCAGCATGCACCTGCCTCTCCCTGAATTCCAGCTGTCCACCCTGCCTGTTCCCTCACTTCCTCCATCCTGTCCAGCAGGATGGGATGGGCAGGGGGACAGCCTGTGTGCACATTTCATGGCAAGCAGGAGTGACACACCATCCCTGGGAGGCGCCTTGGTTCCTCCAAAACCCGGCCCCAGAACTCTGTCCTTGGGGTGGTTTTACCAAACCCCAAACCCAGAACTGTGGTTGTGGCTCAGGGGTCAGCACCCGCTAGTTCTACAATGTCGCCAAGGACTTTGATTGTACAATGTTCTTATTTTCAATAGTCATTCCAAATATTGTGAGATGCATTGTTTCAGGAAGCCCCTTGCCCTCCTAAAAGCCACCCTACTTCTCTCTAAGGAGAATGGCCCAGTCCTCTCCCGAGTTCACACATGGTAGGCGATAGCATTGCTTTTGTGTAAATTACATAATGCAAAATTTTTTAAATCTTTGCCTTAATACTTTCAAATTTTGTTTTATTTTGAATGACTAGCCTTCATGGCCCCACTTTTTTGTACCCCAACTTGTAATGTATGAAGGGTTTTGGTCTCCCTGAGAGTGGCTCAAGGCAGCCAGGGCTTACCTGTACTCTGACGTGAGAAAAGTTGGATAAAAGTGTTCACCTTTAAAAAATTGAATGACGAAGCATTAACAAAAACAGTATTTCAGTACAGTGGACAGCTTAGCTTTTTGACAATTGGGAATAAAATGCTCATTTCTGAACTGTACAATGTAAGACACAAAAACAAAACACTGGAAATGGAAATTCAATTATGTCATTATAGACTGGCTACTGCTCTATATGACTGTGACCAAAGTCAGATAGTTGAAAGAGATTTCTTTCCAGAGAACAAGACATGAACAGGTTTATTTACAGAAAACAATGAATTCTCATATATCTAACCTAAAATATAGCAGATTCTTTCCGAACAAGTCTAATGTAGACAGTAAAATTAACAGGCTAAAAATTAAGCTCCATCAAACAAGATGAACTCTGAGAGAATAGATGGGGCAGGCCGCCATCTTTCCTGTTCAGGCAACTTAGTCATTCCAGCCTGAGGGCTTTGGAGAGTATAAACCGACAAGGGGCAGAAGAGATCCCACAGCACAGCTAGCTGCTTTACCAAATCATGGCCAGAATGCTTCTGTAAGCAGGCCCCCGACCTTGTTGCACATCACTGTACAGGACCTCCCAAATGGGGCCTCCAGCTACCACCACCAGCATTCCTTGGCCAATAGAAATTTGAAGTGTTCACGGGACAGAGCTCCCAGAGAGAGGGGCAGGCCACCACCTTTGCTGTTTGGGTGACTAGCCGTTCTGGTTTGCGGGCTTTGGAAAGCCCAAGGTGACAAGGGGTGGAAGAGGAACCTCAGCGCAGCACGGCCACACTACAAAAACGTGGCCAGACTCTTGTTTAAGTCAGTCCCCGACCACATTTCTAATCAGCAGGTGAAGGCTTTCAACCAGGGTCTCCAGCTGCCCTCACTGCTGTTCTCTGGCCGACAGAGGTTTCAGGCCTCCCTGAGTCAGAGCTCCCAGGGGGAGGACCAGACTGTTGTCTTTGCTGTTGGGGCAACTCAGCCATTTCAGCATTAGGGCTTCAGAGTGTCTGAGGCAACCAGGAGTGGAAGTGAACACCCGGCATAGCACAGCTGCTCTAGAAAAACGTGCCCAGACTTTTTTTTTAAGTCAGTGCCTGTTTTTGTTCCTCCTGACTAGATAAGACTTCTCAACTTGTCTCCAGTCACATCTTATAGGTGTGTTCATACTGGCAACAAGTTCGTACCTCAGTGGCACAGAGCTCCCAGAGGAAGGGGCAGGCTATCATCTTCCCTGGAAAATACAAGGCAATTAGGGACTGGAGGGGACCCCCAGCATACCACAGCAGCCTGACAGAAAAGTGGCCAGACAGTCTACTTGATGGGCAGGTCCTACTGACCTGGGTCTCCAGCCAGTCCACCATCAGAGCTATCCAGCCAGTAGCAACTCAGCAATTCCCTGGACAGAGCTTCCAGGAGCAAACGAAATTCTCTCTTCCATTGCCTCTGCAGTGAAACTGCCCTTTCTACCCTCAGAATATCAAGGGAGCAAAGACCCTAAGTGCCATATTGACACCTCCAATAAGCTGCGGTTGACCCAATGAACAAGCCAGTCCATCTCCCACGGGTACCACACACCCCCCACTGCTCATCACCAGAGAGGGAACACTGGCTTGACCTCACAATACAGACCCTCCATCCTGGGCTGATTACGCTAAGTGATTGCTAACTCACATCTCTATGGGATGGAGCACCCAGGAGACAAGCAGAGTGGTGGAGCAGCAAGTCAGGTGATGTGGAGCCCAGAGGGCAGGGACAGCTATCTCTCTAGGCTCCACGTGCCCTTGTGAGATACTTTATCCCAGCACTTTAGGAATGCTAAGTTCAGATCAGCCCCATCTCATGTTCAAGATTGCCCAGCAGAGATCAGGTCCCAGAGTTCCCCTCTTCAAAAAGGGGACTTGCTTAAAACAGAAGCCTGGCCATGTTTGTGTAAAGCAGCTATGCTGTGCCGGGGGTTCACTTTTGAGAGAGTTCTCCTCTGAGACCTGATCTCTGCTGGGCAGTCTTGCACATGAGATGGGGCTGGTCTGATATCAGCACTCCTTAGTCTGCTTGCCTCTCCCAGGACCCCAGCCTGGCCACACCTGCATACAGGGCACTCTCGGATGCCCACAGCATAGCTTCCATGCTAGTGGACTGTACCTGATCAGTGGAGAGCTGCAGCAAGGTGGCCCCAACAGCCACGCACCAGCCTGCACATTACCTCTCCGTACTGCAGCCCTTTATATGGAAACTTCCTACATCACTTTGCTGTGTGTGTTTACACATGTGGGTTTTGCTGTACTTGCCCTGACAGCACAGGGGAGTGCAGGACACACCCCAACCCACACCAACTGCCATTGAAGACAGAGCCTTGGTGGGCACAGAACCAAGAACCCCACCCCTGCCAGCACCTAACCCTTGAGCTAATGCTGTGCAGAGAAAAAGGGACCTTCTTATAACCTGAGTGACCACGGTTGCTTTGAGGGGCACAGAGAAGGCACCATGGCCTGCACTGGCCAGCAGCCCACCCTGAACCAACACTACCTCCAGTGCAACACACACACAGCAGGGGACCCCTGGCCCACACCCCAGCTGTCTTGCCTCCACCACTGGGTGAACGCCCGCAGGGAGGCAGGGACTTTTGCATCCACTAGCATTCTGCCACAGTTGACACACTTTGGTCCCCTCAGTGCAGTGGACTCCAAACCTCCAAGAGCCAGAGAACAAAGTTGGGGCTCAAGACAAGTTCCCCAGAGTTAAAGCACAAAGTCCAGGAATTGGGAGCTGCACATTGGCCCCCCTAAAATCCTCCAAAAACAAAGCCAGTTGGTTGAATCCACCTTATCCCACAATGAAACCCTCAAGATCATCAAATACAATAAAAGAAAAATACCCTGTCCGAAGGTCAGCAACCTCAAAGATGGAAGGTGGATAAGCCCATAAAGATGAGAAAGAATCTGTGTGAGAACACTGAAAACTCAAAAAGTCAGCATGCCTTCTTTCCTCCAAATGACTGTATCAACTCTCCAGCAAGTGTTCAGAACTGGGCTGAGGCTGAGATGTCTGGAATGATACAAGCAGGGTTCAGGATATGCGTAGGAACAAAGTTCACTGAGTGAAAGAAGTATGTTGTCATGCAATACAACAGAGCTAAAAATCATTGTAAAACATTGTAGGAGCTAACAGACAAAATAGCAAGTATAAAGAAGACATAACCGACCTAATAGAGCTGAAAAGCACACTACAAGAATTTTCATAATGCAGTCACATAGTGATTATGTGTGATTGCATTATGAAAATTATTGTAGTGTTTGTGGGCACCCGAGATTGCCCTGTAAGCAGGTGTGGCCAGGCTGGGGTCCTGGGAGAGGCAAGCAGACTAAGGAGGGCTGAGGTCACACCAGCTCCATCTCATGTGCAAGACCACCCAGCAGAATAGACCAAGCAGAGGAAAGAATCCCAGAGCTTGAAAACTGGCTTTCTGAAATAAAACAGGCAGACAAGAATGGGGGAAAAAAGAAGGAAAATGAATGAACAAAACATCCAAGAAATATGAGATTATATAAACGACAAAATCTATGACTGATTAGTGTACGTGAAAGAGATGAGGAGAATGGAACCAACTTGGAAAACATACGTCAGAATATCATTCATGAGAATATCCCCAACCTATCCAGACAGGCCAACATTCCAATTCAGGAAATCCAGAGAACCTCAGTAAGATAAGCCACGAGAAGATCATCCCCAAGACATATAATCATCAGATTCTCCAAGGTCAAAATGAAAGAAACAATGTTAAAGGCAGCCAGGGAGAAAGGCAACGTCACCTGCAAAGGGAATTCCATCAGACTTAGCAGACTTCTCAGCTGAAACCCTACAAGCCAGAAAAGATATTCAACTTCTTAAAGAAAAGAAATTTCACGTAGTATGGCAGAGACAGATATACCATATAATAACATGGTGTTATTATAAATGGTTAAAAGAAAAAGAAATTTCAACCCAGAATTTCATGTCCAGCAAAATTAAGCATCATAAGTGAAGGAGAAACAAGATCCTTTTCAGACAAGCAAATGCTGAGAGAATTCATTATCACCAGATCTACAAGAGCTCCTGAATGAAGCACTAAATATGGAAAGAAAAGACCATCACCAGCCACTACAAAAATGCACCGAAGTACACAGACCAGTAATGCTAAAAACCAACCACACACACAAGTCTGCAAAATAACTAGCTGACAGCAGGACGACAGGATCTAATCCACACATACCATTACTAACCTTAAATGGAAATGGGCCAAATGCTCCGATTGAAAGACACAGGGGGGCAAGCTGGATAAAGAACCAAGACCCATTTGAGTATGCCGTCTCCAAGAAACCCATCTCACCTGCAGTGCCATACATAGGCTCAAAATGAAGGAATGGTGAAAAATCTTTCAAGCCAATGGAAAACAGAAGAAATCAGGTGTTACACCCTCAGTTTCGACAAAACGTATATACCAATAAAGATAAAAAAAGACAGAGAAGGACATTACAAAGGTGGTCCTGACCTTTGATAAATCTCATTATTGATTGCTACCAACCTGGGCTATCTTTATTGCCCAAACCAACAGGATAATTTGCTGAGGTTGTGGAGCTTCTCCCCTGCAAAGAGTCCCTGATCTCCCAAAATCTGGTTGAGATCTAAGTTTGATTTTGCTGTACAACTCCTTTTCTGAAGTTTTACTCATTTCCAACAAGGAAGGCAAGTTTTCCTGCTTCTGTGGTGATGGAGAGCAGGCACCTCCTTTCCTGAGTTTCAGCTTGCTTCTGACAGGGAAGGTGAGTGTAAGTTGTTTCCAGCTTCTAAGATGGCAGAGAACGATCCCCAGCCTGAGCCTTGTTTCCAGGTAAGTAGCTGAATTAGAGTTTTGTCTTAAAATTTTTCCTTAATGACTAAAATTTAAGATTACTCACCAGCTGCTTTTAATTTCTGCTTTTAGTTTCTCCTTACCATTAGAACACTCAGTAATCATATGAATTGTGCATTTGTTGTTTTGCTTAACTCTTTTTGTCTGTTTATGCTTGGGGCTTTATTGTTGTTGTTTCACTTTTCTCCCGTCTCTTCCTGACTTGGTCAAATCCAAAGGAATTTTCCAAATTGTGGGCAGCAAGGCCTCTGAATTGGCTAAAACTCCTATGGCTGCAAACAAACAAACAAACAAATAAACAACAACAAAAAACATTCCAGTTAGCAGAAATTATTTTTTAAAACTTTTTTTTTTTTTTACATAAGTGGTCTCATCTACATAACAAGGCCACCCTTTTGCTAGCCAAGGCTAAACTGAAGGAGTAGTGGTGGTGACCCAATGTGAAGATTCTGCCCTGTTCACTACAGAAACCTGAGTTTGGTTCCTAAGTCTAGTTCTTTCTGTTTGATATTTGTGTTACTTTTAAAGCGTCAGCAGTTTGTCCCAGCTATGATGTGGTAATAAAAGATTCAAAAGGATTTTCTTTACAAGTTCTATGATTAAAAGCTTAATTAAAAGCAAATTTCTTTTTTTTAATTATACTTTAAGTTCTGGGGTACATGTGCAGAACATGCAGGTTTGTTACATAGGTATACACATGCCATGGTGGCTTGCTGCATCCATCAACCCATGATCTACATTAGTTATTTCTCCTAATGCCATCCCTCTCCTAGCCCCCCACCCTGACAGGCCCTGGTGTGTGATGTTCCCCTTCCTGTGTCCCTGTGTTCCCATTGTTCAACTCCCAGTTATGAGTGAGAACATGTGGTGTTTGGTTTTCTGTTCTTCTGTTAGTTAGCTGAAAATGATGGTTTCCAGCTTCATTCATGTCCCAGCAAATGACGTGAATTCATCCCTTTTTATGGCTGCATAGTATTTCGTGGTGTGTATATGCCACATTTTCTTTATCTAGTCTATCATTGGTGGGCATTTGGTTTGGTTCCAAGTCTTTGCTGTTGTGAACAGTGCCGTAATAAACAGACAGGTGCATGTGTCTTTATATTAGAATGATTTATAATTTTGGGGGTATATACCCAGTAATGGGATTGCTGGGTCAAATGATATTTCTGGTTGTAGATCCTTGAGGAATTGTCACACTGTCTTCCCCAATGGTTGAAGTAATTTATATTCCCACCAACTGTGTAAAAGCTTTCCTATTTCTCCACATCCTCTCTAGCATCTGTTCTTTCCTGATTTTTTAACGATGACCATTCTAAGTGGTGTGAGATTGTATCTCATTGTGGTTTTGATTTCCATTTCTCTAATGACCAGTGATGATGTGCTTTGCTTCACATGTTCGTTGGCTGTATAAATGTCTTCTTTGGTAAGTGTCTGTTCATATCCTTTGTCTACTTTTTGATGGGGTTGTTTTTTTTTTTTTTTTTCTTGTAAGTTTGTTCTTTGTAGATTCTGCATATTAGCCCTTTGTCAGATGGATAGATTGCAACAATTTTCTCCCATTCTCTGGGTTGCCTGTTCACTCTGATAATAGTTTCTTTTGCACTGCAGATACTCTTAAGTTTAGTTAGATCCCATTTGTAAATTTTGGTTTTTGTAGCCATTGCTTTTGGTGTTATAGTGATGAAGACTCTGCCTATGGCTATGTCCTGAATGGTATTGCCTAACACAAGGACATTTCTGTGCCTGAGTGCTATACCACCCAAAGTAATTTATAGACTCACTGCTGTCCCCATCAAGCTACCATTACTTTCTTCACAGAATTAGAAAAACTACTTTAAATTTCATATGGAACCAAAAAAGAGCCCACATAGCCAAGAAAATCCTAAGCAAAAACAGCAAAGCTAGAGGCATCACAGTACTTGACTTCAAATTATTCTACAAGGCTACAGTAACCAAAACAGCATGGGGCTGGTAACAAATCAGATCTATAGACCAATGGAACAGAACAGAGGCCTCAGAAATGACACCACACACTTAAAAGCATCTGATCTTTGACAAACCTGACAAAAACAAGCAATGGGAAAGGATACCCTATTTAATAAATGGTGTTGGGAAAACTGGCTAGCCAAATGCAGAAAACTGAAACTGGGCCACACCCATACACCTTAAACAAAAATTAAGTAAGATGGATGAAAGAGTTAGAAGTAAGACCTAAAACCATAAAAAATCTATAAGAAAACCTAGGCCACCAACCTCAGGGGAAATGACCTGTAGTGAAATGCATGGTACAAACATGCATTTCCTGCTTCCTTGAGTGGGCAACGTTGATGGCTAGTCCAACCACTTCAGGCACACCCTTGCAAACGCGGCTGGTTGCTTTTTGAGCCAGCTTGGCCTTGCCCAGCATACACAAGCCTCAATGCAACAACTGTGCTAAAAATGGAGCCACACAGAGGAAATGAGCAGCAAGCTCAGAAGCAGGGTGTGCACTGCCTTTGGGGCTCCAGTCCATGCCTCAGGGCTTGTATGGGACTGCAGGATTCTTGGTTGCCAAGAGGTAGACCATAGACCAGCCGAGGAGGACTTTATGTTCAAGGGCAGAAAGCAGCCAGGTTTACCACCCAGGGGACTCGGCCTTCTGTGGCCCCGGCCAGACTTAGAATTTGGCTCAAAGCAGGACCAGCTCACTCGGAGTACTGTGTCAGTAGCTGGGGCCTGTACATGCTAGGCAAGGCTAAGCTGGCTCAAAGAGCAACCAGCTACCACTGCAAGGGTGCTTCTGGAGGAGGTGGAGCAGCCAGCAACCTCAGCTGCACAAGGAAGCAGGGATGGCCAAGTTCCCACAGCATGAGTGGCCACCGCCTGATGGCTGATCAAGCAGAGGCCTGAGGAAAAGGAGATGGCAGTTGGGCCCTACCTCTAGGGTAGAACAACTGATGTACCCTGACCGGTAGTGAGTGAGGTTGGTGGTGGGTCCACCGGCTCCTGGCACACCCTTGCAGAGGAGGCTGTTTGCTCTTTAAGGCAGCTTGGCCTTGCCTGGCATGCACAGGCCCCAGGTACTGACACGCTGCTCCCAGTGAGCTTGTTCTGCCTTGGACCAAATTCTAGTGGCTTGGAGTTTGCCCAGCATGCACAAGCCTCAGTGTAATAACTGTGCAACAAACGGAGCCACATAGACGAAACAAGCAGCAGGCTCAGAAGCAGGGTGTGCCCTGCCTTTGGGGCTCCAGTCAATGCCTCAGGGTTCCTATGGCACTGCGGGTTTCTTGGTTGCCTAGCTGCAGACCACAGGCTGTCTTGAGGAGGACTTTATGTTCAAGTGCAGAAAGTAGTCAGGATTACCATCCAGGGGACTCTGCCTTCTGTGGTCCTCTCCAGACTTAGAATTTGGCCCAAGGCAGGACAAGCTGACTCGGAGAAGAGTGTCAGTACCTGGGGCCTATGCATGCCAGGCAAGGCCAAGCTGGCTCAGAGCAACCAGCCACCTCTGCAAGGCTGTGCCTGTAGCAGGCAGACAAGCCAGCAACCTCACCCACTCAAGGAAGCCCGGATGGTGAGGTTCCAACAGCATGAGTAGCTGCCACCTGATGCCTGATGGAGCAGAGGCCTGAGGAAAAGCAGGTGGCATATTTAACTCTTTAATCAATCTTAAGTTAATTTTTGTATAAAGCAGATGGCACTAGTCCATGCCTCATGGCTCATATGGCACTGCAGGCCACAGAAGGGCGAGTACCCAGGGTGGTAATCCTGCCTGCTTTCTGCACTTGAACATAAAGTCCTCCTCAAGATGGCCTGTGGTCTGCATCTTGGCCCCACCTTTAGGGTAGAAGAACTGATGTACCACGTCTGGCAGTGAGTGAGATTGGCAGCTGGTCCATCTGCTCCTGGCACACCCTTGCAGAGGTGGCTGCTTGCTCTTTCAGCCAGCTTGGCCTTGCCTGACATGCACAAGCCTCACTGCAACAAGTGTGCTACAAATGGAGCCATATAGAGGAAATGATCAGCAGGCTCAGGAATGGGGCGTGCACTGCCTTTGTGGCTCCAGTCCATGCCTCAGGGCTCGTATGGCACTGTAGGCTTCTTGGTCGCCAAGAGGCAGAACACAGGCTGTCTTGAGGAGGACTTTATGTTCAAGTGCAGAAAGCAGCCAAGATTAGCACCCAGGGGACTGGGCCTTCTGTGGCCCTGGCCAGACTTAGAATTTGACCCAAGGCAGGACAAGCTGACTCGGAGCAGAGTGTCAGTACCTGGGGCCTATGCATGCCAGGCAAGGCCAAGATGGCTCAGAGCAACTAGCCACATCTGCAAGGCTGTGCCTGTAGTAGGCGGACAAGCCAGCAACCTCAGCTACTCAAGGAAGGAGGGATGGCCAGGTTCCCACAGCCTGAGTGGTTGCCGCCTGATTACTGATAGAGCAGAGGCCTGAGGAAAAGCATATGGCACTGTGGCCCTACCTCTAGGGTAGAATAACTGATGTAACCTGACAAGCAGTGAGTGAGGTTGGTGGCCGGTCCACCGGCTCCTGGCACAACCTTGCAGAGGTGGCTGGTTGCTTTTTGAGCCAGCTTGGCCTTGCCCAGCATGCACAAGTCTGTGCAACAACTGTGACACAAATGGAGCCACACAGAGAAAATGAGCAGCAGGCTCAGGAGCAGGGTGTGTGCTTCCTCGGGGGCTCCAGTCCATGCCTGAGGATTCATATGGCACTGCGGGCTTCTTGGTTGCAAAGAGGTAGACCACAGGCCATCTTCAGGAGGTCTTTGTGTGGAAGTGTAGAAAGCAGCCAGGATTACCACCCGTGGGACTCGGCCTCTTGTGGCCCTGGCCTGACAGAATTTGGCCCAAAGCAGGACAAGCTCACTCAGAGCAACATGTCGGTACCTGGAGCCTGTGCATGCTAGGCAAGGCCAAGCTGGCTCAAAGAGCACCCGGAGCATCCATTCTGGTGGATGAGCCAACCACATGGCCAGCTTCTAGGTGTGGGCACAGTGCCACATCTTCCATCACTTTCTGATATATCCCACCACCACTGAAGAGACAGCCTGGAGAGAGTGCAAGAGGAAAGCTGAGAAGGATGAGATAGTGAGTGCTGGCTTCTTTCTGACCCTCAGCACACCCCCAGGTGGTGACCATCAACCTTTAGGGGTGGGAGAGCAAGACTGATGGCTTCAAATAGTTCCCCAAAAAGATGGACACAGGCCACTCAGTTCAACCTCACAGCCAATGAGTTGACAAGCAAGCAAATGACAGTGACAGGCTTTTAGAAAGAGCATCAGAAGGTGGCCAGTTTTTCTTCAGCCTCAGCCAGGCCTTGGAACTTGACTAGGCCATCCACTTCACCAGAGATGCCTTCAAGAACATCAGTAAGCTCCTTGCCAGTCAGTCCAGGAAGGACCTGGACCCAGCCATGGACCTGTTAGTGCTGTCTCAGGGACACAAGACAAACATCCTGGACATCATCCACATACACAAGGAAGCTCTTACCAAAGTCACGGAGAACAGGCAACATGTGGCAGAAGGGAAGACAGAGGTGCAGAGGCTGATGGCGTCATTATCACAGGAACAGGATTTCTTTGGCCACTTTGGCTGAAATTTACCACTTCCATCCAATTCACTCAAGTGAGAGACTTGAAATCACAGATGGAACATTTCTTGCAACAAGAGATACTATTTTTTCAAAAAGTCACCTAAAATTTGATAGTGTTGAATGACTAGCTATTCAATTGTGGACTTTTTCCAGTTCACGGGTACTTTCTACAGCAGAATGATAACAGTATCAAAGAGCTGGTGCCAGCTATCGGTGGTAGTACAAGGATGACTTTGTGCTCAACTGAAACCCAGCTGAATATAGAATTGTGTAGGAAAGTGTTAATATGGTGATAGAATAGAAACAGTAGCAAATGAACTAAATCATACTATGAATGCCTACACTACCATTATAACTTTTTGAAGAATGATAATACCACTTACTTTATTGCCTTTTGAAGTAGGAATATTTTAGTGGATATCCTATAGATCTGAAACCCTATAAAGAATCCCAAAGAAGCTGGCTGGATAAAGCCTGCTATGGATGTCTGTATACTCAAAGACTGATGAGGCAATTCGAATATGTGTCCCCACCAAATCTCATGTTGAGTTATGCTTCCTAATGTTGGAGGTGGATCCTGGTATAAGGTGACGGAATCATGAAGGCAAATTTCTCATGAGTGGTTCAGCACCATCCCCTTGGTACTGTCCTCACAATCATGAGTGACTTCTCGTGAGATCTGGCCACTGAAAACTCTATATCACTCCGTACTCTCCGTGATTTCCTCTTGTCATGTGAGACAATTCACTCTTTCATTACCTTGCACAATGATTGAAAGATTTCTGAGGCCCCCCAGAAGCAGAAGCACTAAGCTTCCTGTCCACTCTGCAGAACCATGAGCCAATTAAACCTCTTTTTCAAAATAAATCTTACCAAAAATGGCAAATGAGGACTGGAGCATTGCTATAAAGATACCTGAAAATGTGGAAGCAACTTCGGAACTGGGTAATGAGTAGAGGTTGGAAGAGTTTGGAGGGCTCCAAAGAAGACAGACAGATGAGAACATTTTTGGACCATCTTAGAGACTGGTTAAATGGCTGTGACAAGAATGCTGACAAAAACATGGACAGTGAAGGCCAGGCTGAGGGGGCCTCAGATAAAAATAAGAAGCTTTCTGGAAAATGTCTCCCTTTTGGATATGGAAAGCTTACACAATGCCTGTACCATCATTGTACCTTAGACACAGTGAACTTGCTTTTTATTTCAGAGACTCGTAGGCAAAAGAGAATGTAGCCTTGACCCAGATGAGACTTTGGACTTTGTAACTTTGAGTTAATGCTGAAATGAGTTAAGACTTTGGGAGACTGCTGGCAAGGCATGACTGTATCTTGCAATGTGAGAAGGACATGAGATTTGTGGGGTCAGGGACAGAATAATACGGTTTTTCTCTATGCCCCTTCCAAAACTCATGTGAAAGTACACTCCCTAATGTTAGAGTCGGGGCCTAGGTGGAAAAAGCTTTAATCATAAAGGAGTGGGAGTGGATCCTTCACAAATGGCAAAGCACCAAGCCCTTAATGCCATCCTCCTGATAGTGAGTGAGTTCTCATGAGATCTAGTAGTTTAAAAGGCTGTGGAACCTCTTTCCTCTCTCTGTCTTGTTCCAACTTCTGCCATATGAAACATGTCATTGCCGCTTGGATTTCCGGCGTGGTTAGGAGGGACCTGATCAGTGTGGGCCTGGTCAGTGGACCTAGGTCAGTGAGGACTATTTAGTGGGATCGTGGTCAGCAGGGGTCTGCTTAGAGAGGGTCTCATTAGTGGGGTCTAGTAGTGGGGTTTTGGTGAGTGGGGACCTATTGGCTGCCAGTTGTTTGGTGTCTGGTCAGTGCAAACCTGGGCTGTGGGGCTTGATCAGTGGAGACCTGGTCAGCTGGGGCTTAGTGCTGGCCTGGTCAGCATGGGTTGGGGCACTAGTGACCAGGTCAAGGGGTGCTATTCAGTGGAGGAGTGGGCACATGGGACTTAGTCAGCAGACTCTGGTGGGCGTGTCCTCATCAGTGAGGCCCTTGTCAGTGGGGCCCTGGTCAGGGCAGCCTTGTCGGTGGGACCTAATCTGTAGTGTCCTGGTCAGAGAGGACTTGGTCAGTGGTGACTTTTGTAGCACCGGTCTACAGGGTGACCTGGTCAGCGGGGATCTCAGCATTTGGTGCCGGTTCAGTGGGGTCTACTCACTAGGGTCCCAGTCAGGGGCATCTGGTGACATAAGGCCTCGTTATTAGGGGCCTGATCAGTGGCAACCTGTTCCCTGGAGGCCTGGTCAGTGGGGCCTCATCTTTGGGGCCAGGGAATGAGGTCATGATCAGTGGAACCTGATCAGTGAGGCCTTGTCAATAATGACCTAGTCAGTGAGGACTTGTCAGTAAGGACTTAGTCCATGAGTCCTTGTCAGTGAGGCCTTGTCAGTAAGGTCCTGGTCAGTGGAGTCCTTGTCATTGTGTGCCTGGCAGTGGGGGCCTTGTTAGTGGGGCCTGGTCATGAGGGTCTAATCAGTGAGGGTGTCATCAGGGAGGACCTGATGTGCAGGGTCTGGTCAGCAGGGACCTGGTCAATGTGGGCTGCTGAGCACTGCTTGGATAAGCCAGGTGCAATGTGCATTATTGAAGGCCTTGTGGACAGCTGGGATAGCCCAGTGATGCCCAAGGGCCTAGTCAGAAGTGGACAAAGCACGTATTTGGATGGACCTGGGAGATCCTGCTCAGAGATTCTGACAGGACAAAGGTAAAGGAAGGGCCAGAGTGGCTGGAGAGAAGGTCACAGTCTATGGGCTGCACAGGATGGAGGAGGCCAGGGAAAAGGCAGGGTGGGCAGTTGGGGTTCAGGGAGAGACAGGTGCATGCTGGGAGGTCAGACCCTGTGAGGGCTTTGGGGGCGTCAGGTTGGGTAGGCTCCAGGCACTCTCGCTCACATAGGATTCCAGAACACTGCTACAAGGCTCTGAGTGTTTGTCCCTCACATAGGATTCCAGAACATTGCTGCCATTGTCTGAATGTTTGTCCCCCACATAGGATTCCAGAAGCCTGCTGCTGGGGTCTGAATGTTTGTCCCCCATCTAGGATTCCAGAACACTGCTGCGAGGGTCTGAATGTATGTCCCTCACATATGATTCTAGAATATTGATGCTAGGGTCTGTATGTTTGCCCTTAACATATGATTTCAAAACACTGCTCCTGGATTCTGAATGTTTGTCCTTCACATTGGAATACAGAACACTGCTGCTGGAGTCTGAATGTTTGTCACTCACATAGAATTCCAGAACACTGCTGCGAGGATCTGAATGTTTGACCCTCACATGGGATTCCAGAACACTGCTGCGAGGGTCTAAATGTCTGTCCCTTACATAGGTTCCCAGCACAATGTTACGAGGTTCTGAATGTTTGTCCCTAACATAGGATTCCAGAGCACTCCTGCTGTGCTCTGAATGCTTCTCCCTCACATAGGATTCCAGAACACTGCTATGAGGGTCTGAATGCTTATACCTCATATAGGATTCCAGAACACTCCTGCTGTGGTCTGAATGTTTGTCCCTCACATAGGATTCCAGAACATTCATGCTGGGGTCTCAATGTTTCCCTTAACATAGGATTTCAGAACACTGCTCTTGGGATCTGAATGTTTTTCCCTCACATAGGATTACAGAACACTGCTGCTGGAGTCTGAATGTTTGTCAGTCACATAGAATTCCAGAACACTGCTACAAGGGTGTGAATATTTTTCCCTCACCTAGTATTCCAGAACACTGTTGCAAGGTTCTGCATGTTGGTCCATCATATAGGATTCCAGAACACTGCTGCTGTGGTCTGAATGTTTGTCCCTCCCATAGAATTCCGGAACACTGCTACAAGGGTCTGAATGTTTGTCCTTCACATACCATTCCAGAACACTGCTGCCGTGGTCTGAAGGTATGTCCCTCACATAGGATTCCAGAACACTGCTACTAGGTTCTGAATGTTTTTCCCACACCTAGGATTCCAGAACACTTCTGCTGGTGTCTGAATGGTTGTCCCTCACATATGATTCCAGGACACTGCTATGAGAGTCTTAATGTTTGTCCTTCACATAGAATTCCAGAACACTGCTCCCGTGGTCTGAATGTTTGTCCCTCACATAGCATTCCGGAACACTGCTACAAGGGTTTGAAAGTTTGTCCCTCACATAGGATTCCACAACACTACTGCTGGGGTCTGAATGTTTGGCCCTCACATAGGATTCTAGAACACTCCAGCTGGCTTCTGAGTGTTTGTCCCTCACATAGGATTCCTGAAGACTGCTGCTGTCGCTATAGTCATTGTGAGTGTCTGAATGTTTGACCTTCAACAAACACCAAATATCCTGGCCCTTTAGTCTTGGACTTTCCAGCCTCCAGATCTGTGAGCAATAATCTCTGTTGTTTATGAATTACTCAGTCTGAAGTATTTTGTTATAGTAGCCTAAAGAGACTAAGAGAGCATCACCTGCCCTGTCACCTCATCACCGCATTACTGAAGCTATACTAACAGCAGTCACTTTTCGTGGGTGCTTCATGCATGAGAATAAAGGGAAAAAATTGCAAGGCATACTAAAATCCAAAAAAAGAAAAAAATACAATTTGTGTCAAAAGAGCAAGCTTCAGAAGCAGACAAAGATATGATTTTGGAATTTTTTTTTAAACCTCTGGAGAATATGCTAAGGGCCTAATGAATGAAGTAGACAGTATTCAAGTGTAGATGGGTAATGTTATCAGAAAGACAAACATCGTAAGAACTTTCAACATAATGTAGTGATGAAAAACGTGGTAAATAACTGAAGAATACCTCTGATGGCTTATTAGTAGACTGGACTCAGCTGAGTAAAAATCTCTGAGCTTGAGGATTTATCATCAGAAACTTCAAAACCTAAAGAAAAGAAACACTGAAAAGAACAGAAGATGATATTCAAGACTGTGGGACAACTACAAAAGGTGAAACAGAGTAATGAGAATACCAGGAGGAGAAGAAATAGAAGAAAGTTCTGCAACAACCATGTCTGAGAACTTCCAGTATTAATGTCAGACACCAAACCAAAGATCCAGGAAGCTCCGAGAACACCAGGCAGAATAAATGCCAACAACCTACACTTGGACATATAATTTTCAAACTATATGAAATAAAAGATAAAGGAAAACTCTGAAAGAAACCAGAGGTGGGGCAGAAAACACCTTACCTACAGAGACACAAAGATAAGAACTGCATTCAACATTGCAGAAACTGTGAAAGCAAGAAGACAGTGAAATGAAAAATTCAAAATGTTGACAGAAAAAAACCCACCAACCTAAGTTTCTGTACCCACTGAAAACACCCTTCAAAAGTGAAGGAGAATTAAGGCCTTCCTCAGAAAAATAAAAATTCAAGAAACTTGTTGCCAGGAGACCTGTCTTGCAAGAAATTTTAAATGAAATTCTTTAGGGAAACAAAAGATATGTAACTGAAACCTGGATCAACATTTTTTTAAAAAGAGCATTAAAGAAAGAATTGTGGTACAATAAAAACCTATGTATTTATTCTTAATTGATCTGACCAAGAAGTTCATAGACAATAACAAATACACACAGATAGATTATGTATGCTTATACACAATTGAAATGAGTAACATTAATACAAGGAATGGAATGGAAGGATGGGAGGGAGGCATTGTGGTACAATAAAAACATGTATTTATTCATAATTGATCTGACCAATAAGTTTGTAGATAATAATGAATACACACAGATAGATTATGCATGCTTATACACAAGTGAAATAAGGAACAATAATACAAGGAATGGAATGGAAGGATGGGAGGGAGGAATCAGGTGTTTTCTTTGTTAAGCAGGTAGTCACCCGTGAAGTGGGATAGTGTTATCTGAAAGTGGACTTGAATTGGTTGTAAATGTATATTGAGGAATTAGGTGTGTTCTTTGTTAAGCAGGTAGTCTTATTTGTGGGATAGTGGGATAGTGTTATTTGAAAGTGGACTTGAATTGGTTGTAAATGTTACTGAGGAATTAGGTGTTTTGTTTGTTAAGCAGGTAGTCTTATTTGTGGGATAGTTGGATAGTGTTACTTGAAAGTGGACTTGCATTGGTTGTAAATGTATATTGCAAATTCTGTGGCAACTAGTTAAAAAAGGTTTTAAAAAGAGAAGTACGTGCTAAGAAAGACAGGGAAAATGTAGTCATCTAAAATCATCAATGAAAACTGCAAAAGGGAGAAAAAGAGTGGTAGACAAAAGAATGGAGACTGAGGAGAATGAATAGAAAACAGTAACAAATATAGTAGATATTAATCCAATGATATCAATAATCACTTTGAATGTTAATGGTATGAATGTACCAATTCAAAGGTAGAGATTGTCACAGTCTATCAAAAGACAGACACATCTTGTTTCACTGCACTTTGCTTTATTGTATTTTGTGACCATGTGTTTTACATATTGAAGCTTTGTGGCCACCCTGCAATAAGCAGTTCTCACTGGCACCATTGTTCCTACAGCACGTGCTCACTTCACGTCTCTGTGTCAAATTTCGGTCATTCTCGCAGTATTTTAAGATTTTTATTATTGAATCTGTTGTGGTGATCTGTAATCAGTGATCTTTAATGCTACTGTTGTCATTGTTTTGAGAACCACAAATCACACCAGGATAAGACAGCAAACAATTGACAAATGCGTTTGTTCTGACTGCCCAACCAACGGGCCATTTCTCTTTCTCTTTTTCTCTGGCTTCTTTTTATTAATATTAAAATGTGGCCCATTAATAACCCTACAATAGCCTCTATATGTTCATGAAAGAAGAGTTGCATGTCTGTCACTTTAAACCAAAAGGAAGAAATAATTAAGCTTAGTGAGGAAGGCATGCTGTAAGCAAGACAGGCCAGTAGCTAGACCTCATGCAACAAACACTTAGCCAAGTTGTGAATGCAAAGGAAGTGTTCTGGAAAGAAATTTAAAGTACTGCTCCAGTGAACACATGAATGATAAAAAGCTAAACAATCTTGCTGCTGTTATGAAGAAAGTTTAATTGGTCTAGATAGAAGATGAATAAAAACAAAAAACATTCCATTAAGCCTAAGCCTAACTCTCCTTTTACTTTTTTTTCTTTATTTTTGAGACAGAGTTTCATTCTTCTTGCCCAAGCTGGAGTGCAATGGCATGATCTTGGCTCATCGCAACCTCTGCCTCCCAAGTTCAAGCCATTCTCCTGCCTCAGCATCCCGAGTACCTGGAATTACAGGTATGCACCACCACACCTGGCTAATTTTTTGTATTTTTAGTAGAGATGGGGTTTCTCCACGTTGGTCAGACTGGCGTCGAACTCCCGACCTCAGGTGATCTGCCCGCCTCGGCCTCCCAAAGTGCTAGGATTACAGGTGTGACAGCCACCGCACCCGGCCTCTCTTCAATTCTATGAAGACTTAGAGTGGTGAGGCAGCTGCAGAAGGAAAGTCTGAAGCTAGAAGAGCTTGTTTCTTGAGGTTTAAGGAAAAAAGTCATCTCCATAACATAAAAGCGCAAGATAAAGCAGCAAGTACTGATGGAAAAGCTGCAGAAAGCTATCTAGAAGATAACTAATTAAGATGGCTACACTAAATAGATTTGCAATGGAGACAAAACAGCCTTCTACTAGAAGGAGATGTCATCTAGGATGTTCCCAGCTAGAGAGGAGTTGATGCCTGGCTTTAAGGCTTCAAAGGACATGCTGACTCTTTTGTTAAGGGCTAATGCAGTTATTGATGTTAACTTGAAACCAATGATGATTTACTATTCTGAAAATCCGAGGGCCCTGAAGAATTATGATAAAACACAGCTCTGTCTGTACTCTACAAATGGGAACAAAGCCTGGATGACAGACTATCGGTTTACAAATACGGTTTACTGAATATCTTAAGCCCAGTGTTGACACCTACTGCTAAAGAAATAAGATTCCTTTCAAAGTATTACCACTCACTGACAATGCCCCTTGTACTCAGGGGCTTTTACAGAGATGTATAAAGAGCTGAATATTGTTTTCATGCCTACTAAACCAACATTCATTCTGGTGCCCTTGGATCAAAGAATAATTTCAACTTTCAAGTCTTATCACGTAAAAAATATATTTCATAAAGCTATAACTTCTCTAGAAAGTGATTCTTTTGATGGATCTGGGCAAAATAATTGAAAACCTACTGGAAAGGATTCACCATTCTAGATGCCATTGAGAACATTCATGATTTAAAAAATAAGATCAAAATAGCAACATTAGGAGAAGTTGGGGCCAGGCGTGGTGGCTCACACTTGTAATCCCAGCATGTTGGGAGGCCAAGGAACGTGGATCACGAGGTCAGGAATTTGAGACCAGCCTGGCCAACATAGTGAAATCCTGTCTGTACTAAAAACACAAAAAAATTAGCTGGTCCTGGTCGGGGTGACCGTAATCCCAAACACTTGGGAGGCTGAGGCAGAATTGCTTGAACCTGGGAGATGGAGGTTGCAGTGAGCTGAGATCGCATCACTGCACTCCAGCCCAGGCAAGACTTCATCTCAAAAAAAAAAAAAAAAAGAGAGAGAGAGAGAAGTTGGGAAGATTATTCCAACCCTCACAGATGACACAGGGGTTCACGACTTCTGTGGAGGAGGTAACTGCAGATATGGTGGAAATAACAAGAGCACTAGAATCAGAGACAGAGCCTGAAGGTCTGGCGAGATTGCAGCAGCCTCCGGAGAAAACGTGAGTGGATGAGTTGCTTCCACGGATGAGCAAAGAAAGTGGTTTCTTGAGATGAAATCTACTCGTGGTGAAGACAGTGTAAACAATGTTGAGATGACAACAGATTTAGAATAAACTTAGTTGGTACAGCAGAAGGAGGGCTTGACAGAATTGAACCCAATGATTTACAATAATACATAAACTTAGTTGGTACAGCTGTATGAAGGTTTGACAGGATTGAATCAAATTTTGAAAGTTCTACTGTGGGTAAAAAGCTATCAAACAACACCGTATGCTACAGATAATTCTTTTGTGAAAGGGAGAGTCAATTGACACAGCAAACTTCAATGGTGTCTTATTTTAAGAAATTGCCACAGCCACCCCAACGCTCAGCAACCACCACCTTACATTAAGGCAAGACCCTCCATCAGCAAGAAGACTGAAACTTGGCCAGGTGCAGTGGCTCACACCTGTCATCCCAACACCTTGGGAGGCCAAGGTGGGTAGATTGCTTGAGCCCAGGAAGTCAAGGCAACATGGCAAAACCCCATCTCTACAAAAAAAAAAAAAAAAATACAAAAATTAGCTGGACACGGTGGCATGCAAATGTAGTTCCAGCTAGTCAGGAGTCTGAGGTGGGGGTTTGATTGAGCATGAGGTTGAGGCTGCAATTACTCCAGCCTGAGCCACAGAGTAAAACCCTGTCAGCACACAAAAAAAGATTGCAGCTTTCTGAAGGCTCAGATGACTGTTAGCACTTGTTAACAATAAAGTATTTGTAAATTAAAGTGTGAACACTTTGTAGACATATGCTATTGCACACTTTATACAGCACAGTATAAACATACTTTTACATGCGCTGGAAAACCAAAAGAAATTGTATAACTCACTTTATTGCAGTGGTCTGGAACCAAACCCACATATATCTCTGATGCATGGCCGTCCTGTATTGTACACTTAAAATAAAACTTAAGAGGGTATATTTTAGGTGAAATGGTCATCTCATTTTTTTTTTTTTTTGAGACGGAGTCTCACTCTGTTGCCCAGGCTGGAGTGCAGTGCAACCATCTCAGCTCACTGCAAGCTCTGCCTCCCGAGTTCACACCATTATCCTGCCTCAGTCTCCCAAGTAGCTGGGACTACAGGTGCCCGCCATCACGCCCAGCTAATTTTCTGTATTTTTAGTAGAAACGGGGTTTCACTGTGTTAGCCAGGATGGTCTTGATCTCCTGACCTCGTGATCCACCTGCCTCGGCCTCGCAAAATGCTGGGATTACAGGCGTGAGCCACCACTCCCGGTCTCATTTTTTAAAAAGGGTGAGAATGAGAAATATATGGGGAGTGATGGTCAAGTTTACGGCATTATTTGTTGTGATGAGTCCTGGGGCGAATACTTATCTCTAAACTCATTAAGATGTATATATTCGGTGTCACGCGCCTGTAATCCCAGCACTTTGGGAGACCGAGGCAGGTGGATCATCTGAGGTCAGGAGTTTGTGACCAGCCGGGCCAACATGGTGAAACCCTGTCTGTACTAAAAAAATACAAAAATTAGCCGGGTGTAGGGGCGCACGCCTGCGATCTCAGCTACTCAGGAGGCTGAGGCAGGAGAATTGCTTGAACCCGGGAGGCGGAGGTTGCAGTTAGCTGAGATCATGTCACTGCACTCCAGCCTGGGCAACAAGAGTAAAACCTCCGTAACACACACACACACACACACACACACACACACACACACAAAGGTATATATTAAATATGTGTAATTTTTGTATGTCAACCACACTTTAGTTTTATTTTATTTTTTTTTGAGACAGAGTCTTGCTCTGTCACCCAGGCTGGAGTCCAGTGGTTCAATCTCAGCTCACTGCAAGCTCCAACTCCCAGGTTCACACCATTCTCCTGCCTCAACTTCTGGAGTAGCTGGAACTACAGGCACCCGCCAACACGCCCGGCTAACTTTTTGTATTTTTAGTAGAGATGGCGTTTCACCGTGTTAGCCCGGATGGTCTCGATCTCCTGACGTGATCTGCCTGCCTCAGCTTCCCAAAATGCTGCGATTACAGGTGTGAGCCACCGTGCCCAATTTTTATTTTTTTGAGACAGAGTCTCATTCTGTCACGCAGGCTGGAGTGCAGTGGCACTATCTTGGCTCACTGCAACCTCTGCCTCCCATGTTCAAGCAATTCTGCTGCCTCAGTCTCCTGAGTAGCTGGGACTACAGATGCATGCTATCACGCCTGGCTAATTTTTTTATTTTTAATAGAGATGAGGTTTCACCATGTTGGCCAGGCTGGTCTCAAACTCCTGACCTCATGTGATCTGCCCACCTCAGCCTCCCAAAGTGCTGGGATTACAGGTGTAAGTCACTGCATCCGGCAATTTTTAAATATATATAATTAAAAATTAATAAAAAACAGGTATTTGCAAGTTTCCGTTTTGTTATATGCTTATTATTCTTTATCTTTACGTCAGGTTGCTGTGTCAATACACTTAGGAGATCATAGTTTCTAAATTGAAATACAAATAAATATGTCTGAAATTTTTTCTTTTTTCTTTTTTTTTTTTTTGAGATGGACTCATTCTGCCACCCAGGCTGGAGTGTAGTGGTGCAATCTCAGCTCACTGCAACCTCCGCTTCCCAGATTCAAGTGATTCTCCTGCCTCAGCCTCCAGAGTAGCTGGGATTACAGGCACCCGCCATGACACCCAGCAAGCTTTTTTAAATTTTTTTTCTATTTTTAGTAAAGACAGGGTTTCACCATGTTGGCCAGGCTGGTGTCCAACTCCTGACCTCAGATGATCCTCCCGCCTCAGCCTCCTCAAGTGCTGGGACTACAGGTGTGAGCCAGTGTGCCTGGCCTGGAATTTTTTTCTAAAATTTACATTTCTGAGTTAAGAATGCTTAAAATATTATAAAAACAGAAGCACAATTCATTATGTGTTTCATTAATTACCTCTATTAAAAACAACACAATTATATTACAATAGGACAAAAAAATGTTTAAGCAAATGAAAACAAAACCATGACATACCCAAACTCAGGAGGAGGCAACAAAGGCAGTGCTAAAGGGAAGCTTACAGCCGTAGATGCTTAAATTAAAAAGAAGAAAGATCTCAAACCCATGGTAAAGGGAAGCTTACAGCTGCAGATGCTTAAATTAAAAAGAAGAAAGATCTCAAAGCCATGCTAAAGGGAAGCTTATAGTTGCAGGTGCTTAAATTAAAAAGAAGAAAGATCTCAAATCAATAACCTAATATTACACCTAAAGGGAAAAAAAAAAAAAAAAACTAATGACAAACCAAGCAAAAGGAAGAAAGTAACAGATTAGAATAGAGATAAGCAGAATAAGATCAGAAAAAAAGGAAAAAAAAAAACACTGAGTTTGCTTTTTAAAGATCAATAAAAATTTTAAAACTCACAGCTATATTAAGAAAAAAGAGAAATCTCAAATACTAAAATCATAAATAAAAGAGGTGACAGTACAACAGATTCCACAGAAATGAAAAAGATTACAAGAGACTAATGTGAGCAACCATATGCCACAAAACTGGGCAACCTAGAATAAATTTATAAATTCCTAGATACACAAACCACCATACTGCATCATGGAGAAATAAAAAATCCAAAGAGACCTGTAACTAGTAAGAAGATTCAACCAGTAATCAAAAACCCCCCAAAAAAGAAAATTCCAGGTCCAGATAACTTCACTGGAGAATTTTACCAAACATTTCAAGAAGAATTAATGCCAGTCCTTTGCAAAATATTCCAAAAATGTACAAAAACCAGAAGGGGACATTCCAATCCATTCTATCAGGTCAACATTTACCTGGTTCCAGAACCAGATGAACACCTTTTGTAATAAAAACACTCAAAGAATTAGTAATATATGGAAACTCCTCAGTAAATAAAGATTATACATGAAAAGCTCACAGCTAACATCATACTGAATGGTGAAAAACTAAAATCTTTTCCTCTAGGATCAGGAATAAGATAGCAACATCTCTTCCTGCCACTTCTATTCACAACAGTACTGGAATTTCTACTCAGAATAATTAGACAAGAGAAAGTAATAAAAAGCATGCAAATTGGAAAGGAAAAAGGACAAAATTTTGTTCACAGACAACATGATGTAATGTGTAAAAATCCTGAAATTCCACAAAATACTGGTAGAATAATGAAATTCAACAAAGTTTCAGGATACAGTAACACACACAAGTCAGTTGCATTTCTATAAACTAACAATGAACAATCTGCAAATAAAATTTTAAAAAGAGGCCAGGTGCAGTGGCTCACAGTTGTAATCCCAGCACTTTGGGAGGCCAAGGCGCGTGGACCACCTGAGGTCAGGAGTTCGTGACCAGCTGGGTCAACCCCATCTCTAATATAAATAGTAAAACTCTATCTCTGTTAAAAATACAAAAATTAGCTGGGCATAGTGGCAGACACCTGTAGTCCCAGCTACTTGGGAGGCTGAGGCAGGAGAATTGCTTGAACTTGGAAGGTGGAGGTTGCAGTCAGCTGAGATTGTGCCACTGTGCTCCAGCTTAGGAAACAGAGTGAGACACCGTCTCAAAAAAAAAGAAAGAAAGGAAAGAAAGAGAGAGAAAGAAAAGAAAGGAAAGAAAACAAAAGAAAAGAAATTTTTAAAAAGAATGACATTTAGCTGGGTGCGGTGGTTCATGCCTGCAATCCCAGCAGTTTGGGAGGCCGAGGCGGGCAGATCACCTGAGGTCACAAGTTCAAGACTAGCCTGGTCAACATGTAGAAACACTGTCTCTACTAAAAATACCAAAAAGTTAGCTGGGCATGGTGGCTGGCACCTGTGATCCCAAGTACTTGAGAGGCTGAGGTTGGAGAATCGCTTGAATAAGGAAGGTGCAGGTTGCAGTGACCTGAGATAGTGCCACTGCACTCCAGCCTGGGAGACAGAGCAAGACTCCATCTCAAAAAAAAAAAAAAAAAAAAAAAAAGAATTATATTTACAGCAGCATTATAAAAATTAGGAATAAGCTTAACCAAGAGGGCAAAAGATTTGAACACAGAAAACTACAAAACACTGTTAAAAGAAATTAAACACAAATAAATGAAAAGAAAAGCTGGGTTTGCAGATTAGATGATTTCATCTTGGAATGATGTCAACACTACTCGAAGTGACCTAGATTCAATACAATCCTTATAAAGATTCCAATGACATTTTTGATAAACAGAAAAACCTATCCTAAAACTCATATGGAATCTCCAGGGCCCATGAATAGGCAAATCAATCTTGAAACAGGACAAAATTAAAGGTCTCTAAGCAATTACAAAACTGCAATAAGCCAAAAAAAAATGTGGTAATGGCATAAAGACACTCTTGACACACTTATGGACCAACACAACAGAGACCTCAGAAACCAACCCTGGCATATATGGTCCGATGATCTTCCACAAGGATGCCAAGACCACTCAATGGCAAAGCACAGTTTCTTCAACAAATGGTGTTGGGAAAATTGTATAACTACATGCAAAACAATGAAGTTGGACTCTTACCTTACACGACGTTAAAATCAATTCAAAGTGAATTATAAACCTAAATGTAAAACTAGAACTATCAAACTCCTAGGGAAAACAAATTTGGAAAATGCTTTATGACGATGAATTTGTCAATAATTTTTAGGATATGACATTAAAAGCTCAGGCAGTAAAAGCAAAAATATATCAAACCTAAAAACTTCTGTACCTCAAAGGTCACAACCAACAGGGTAAAAGGCAAACTGCAAAATTAAAAAAAATACCAGTTGAGTGTCCCTTATTTGAAATGCTTGGGATATGTTTCAGATTTTGTAATATTTGCATTATTCTTACTGGTTGAGGATCTCAAATTCAAACACCTGAGTCTGAGATGCTCCAATAAGCATTTCCTTTGAATGTCATGTTGGCACTCAAAAAGTTTCAGACTTTGGAGCATTTGGGATTTCAGATTTTTGGATCAGAGACATTCAACCTATAGTTGCTCATCATGTATCTCATAAGAAGTGAACATTCAGAATATGTAAAGAACTCCTACAGAGAGACTACCAGAAGCAGAGAGGAGCAAACACATTTTCACACTAGGGAACCTCCTATCTCTCCTGGATTCCAATTAGGGCAGAATAAGTGCTAGTTCTCTGCCAACCCAGGATTAGGCCCTGCAGCTGCAGTGAAAATAATCACAGAAGAAAACTAAGAAATAAAAAATGGAGAAAGTGAGACATCAAACTAGAATTACTAGAAACCCCCAGGAAGAAGGAAAAAAAAATCCAAGAAAACAGAAAAACAATCAAACCAGATAATTAAACCTTGGTGTGACCAGAAGATCAGGGTTTCCTAAAGGAGTGGAAATTTATTGACTTGAAGACGATTTATTGATTACTGATTTGAAGAGGAATAAAACCATGACTGGTCTAAAGCAAAAGCCTAGTGTCTGAAGAAGTCAGTAGGGTGAAAACAAGAGCTGGCCAGAATGTCCACAGATGGTGACAGGTTTGCAAAGCCTTTACTAGACTACTTGTGAAGCTAACTAGAGGCCAAGAAGCCAACACTGACCCTGTCCTTACAGAGAGACCCTACACAGGATTCCCAGATATACATGGAAGGACAACATCTTATCAGGTCCTCTCTGTGCAGATGTGGTTATCATTCCAAATAATGAGCTCCAGCACCAAGACTGTTCCATCCTCAATTGCTTTGAGTGGGCAATGTAGGCTTTCCACACACGAGCTACATGTAGGTTCTTTGGGTACCCAGATGGGAGCCGTGAAACATAAACCCTCCATGGTCAGGTGCGTATCTGTTTCCTGCCTTTTTCCCAGCAATCCCCAGGCCTCAGCAGCAGTGGTCTACCTCTGCTGATTCTCATTCAGAATCTAAACTTAGAAACAATTAGAATCCAGACCCCAATTCTACCTGAAAGTAACAGAATAACATAATCTATACCCTGCAGCATGACTGTTTGCCCAACGTAATGAGGATGAACTGAGAGATAATGAATGATCATGACCCTGGCCCAAGTAACAAGAATGAACTGTGAGATAAATGAATGATCATGACCAAAAAACCCCGCTACAACACAACAAAATAAAGTGATTAAAAAATGGACAAAGAGCATTCATCCAAAGATGCAAACATGATATACAAATAGCCAACAGATACATGAGATATATGAGAAGATGTGTAACATCACTAATCATTAGAGAAATGCAAATAGAAACCACAATGGGACATCACTTCAAACCCAAAAGAAAGTAACAAGTGCAGGTGAAACTGAAACACTTGAACACTGTTGGTGGAAATATGAACTGGCTCCTCAAAAAAATAAAATAAAATGACCATATGATCCAGCCATCCAACTTCTACAGAGACAGAATAACTAGTAGCAGGAACTCAAACAGATATGTGCACACCTATGTTCACAGGAGCATTACACAGCCACTAGGTGGAAGAAACCAAAACGTCCATCCAGGAATAGATGGATAAACAAAAGGATATACATATATATATATAGAGAGAGAGAGAAAATATATATATATGAAGAAATATTATTCAGCCATAGAAAGGAAGAAAATCCTGACACATCTGCACATAACATGGAACCTACTTAAAAAACAAATATTATATAACCCTAGGTATATAAGCCAAATTTTTAGGAACACAAAGTAGAATAGTACTTGCCAGGAGGTGGAAGGAAGGGGAAATTAATAGTTGTTGAATGGGTATAGAGTTTTCCAAGATAAAAAAAAATCTAGAAATCTGCTGCACAACAATGTAAATATTCTTAACTCTACAAAACTGTATACTTACAACTGGTTATGATGGTAAATTTTAAGGTAAGTGTTTGTTACCAAAATTCGAAATTATAAATTATTTATAAAAAATGATCTTTTTTGACACACGGTCTTACTCTGTTGCACTGGCAGGAGTGGAATGGCATGATCACAGCTCATTGGAACCTCAACCTCCCAGGCTCAAGCAACCCTCCCACCTCAGCCTCCCAAATAGTTAGAACTACAGGTGCACACCAAGATGTAAGGCTAAATTTTGGTTTGTTTTTTTTGTAGAGAGGGTTTTGCCATGTTGCCCAGGCTGGTCTCAAACTCCTGGGTTCAAGCAATCCACCTCCCTTGGACTCCCACAGAGCTGAGATTATGAGCATAAGCCAACATGCCCAGCCTATAAAAAAATTTCAAAAAGCCAAAAGATTAATCAAACTGGAATATTTAGAAATATTTAACCCAAAAGTAGATAGGAAAGAATATATAGAATATCAAAAGACAGACGAAGGCCAGGCATGGTGGCTCATGCCTGTAATCTGAACACTTTGGGAGGCCAAGGTGGGTAGATTGCTTGAGCTCAGGAGTTCAAGACCAGCCTGTGCAACATGGCAAAACCCTATCTCTACAAAAAATATAAAAATTAGCCAGGTGTGGTGCCATGCACCTGTAGTCCCAGCTACTCAGGGGGCTCAAGTGAGGATTGGTTGGGCCTGGGAGGCAGAGGTTGCAGTGAGCCAAGATTGCACCATTGCACTACAGTCTGGGTGACAGAGCAAGAACCTTCTTAAAAAAAAAATAAACAAACAAATAGAAAATATCTAGAAAAATGGTAGACCTAAATCCAACCTTAGCAATGATTAGTTACAATGTAACTGGACAAATACTCTACTTAAGACAGAGACTGCCAGACCTGAGAGGAAGGCAAGACCCAACAATATGGCATCCACAGAGACACAATTTAAACACAAAGACACAAAGTATGAGAAAAAATATGCTATGCAGACACTAAACATAAAAATATGCTATCCAGACACTAATCATAAAAAGCTTCAACAGAGATGTTAACACTAGATGAAAGAGGCTTCAGAACAAAATATATCACCAGAAATAAACAGGGTAATTTAATAAAAATAAAAGAATCAGAGAGGATGATGTTACAATTATAAATTGTGCCTCAAAGTGCACACAAACTACACACACACACACAGAGCCTCAAAGTATGTGAATCAAAAACAACAAAACAAAAGCAGGAAATTGACAATCCAAAATTATAGCTGGTGAATTAATACTGCTCTCTCAGTAACTGATGGAACAACCAGATAAAAATATAGGAAAATACGGATCTAAATGACAAAATCCTGGCCCAAATGGTACTTGGCAGTGCCAAGATAAACTGTATGTCAATCGATTGAGAAAAGGTTCAAGCCTGAAATAGTATACAAAGTATGTTGTCTGAACACTTGAAATTAAATTAGAAACCAACAACAAATTGATATCCAGAAAAGCCTCAAATGTCTAAAAACCAAGTAATAAACTTTGAAATACCCTGTGAGTCAAAAAAGTATTCACAAGGGGAACTGGAATGTATTTGGAATAAACTTGTTATAAAAATCTCATTTCTGGTAGACTAAAGGTGACAAATTCTTTCCTGCTCCTCTCTCTGTGAGAACCAATTCCCCTTAAACCTTGACCAGACTACTGACTTATTTGGCCAACAGAAGGTGACAAAGGGGGTATTTGGGGACTTCAGAAGCCAGGCTGAGAAAACAGAACACTTATCCAGGAGAAAGCCAGTCACTGGGCAGGAAATCCCACTCCCCTGAGACCTCATGATGGAAACCACAAGACCAGTCCATGACTAGCTACACGCATTGACATCCCCCACTGAGCCTCCAGCAACACCGACTCCCAACAACTGGTGAGCCTTCAGCAACATCCACTCCCAACCACTAGTGAGCCACCCTGCACACCACCCCACTGTGCTTTCACACAATCCAACTTGGCTGCAACTGTGTGTGAGATGAGCTGACCACCAAGACTCTCTAAGCCAAAAAACAAGTAATAATGAGTTGTTTTACTTCAGAATAGATAACTGGAACAGAATATGGCAGCTGGAAATGAGCTGCTGTGGTAATCAGAAGCTACAATATGTGACACGACTGTGAGGCTGACCTGTAACTGGGCCTCAAGGAGACCATTCATGCAACCTGGAAGGGCATCAAGACTCTTGGTCAGGGCCTGAAGGACGGTGAGAAAATGTCATTGGAAACTGGAGAAAAGGCCTGAGAGTTACGTGCTGAGGGACTGTGGGAAAACTATGGCCACAACATGGAAACTGAAAGGGCACTGCACCATCTCAGGGATCTGCCTAAGGAGACATCTGGGAAGAACATGGAAAGTGCTACCAGCCTCCCCTAACTGTCACTGAATAAATATGACAGGAGAGGTACATGATCTAAAGAAGAAGGTTCAGCTTTCAAACAGAATTTAGAGAAAATATAAAGAAATAATTTCTTGTCTCAAAAGGCCAAAGTAAAAAAAAAAGAAAAGAAAAGAAAAAAAAAAATGAAAAAGAAGCCATTGAATACCCTATTGACCCTAAGAAAAAGGCAGGGAAAGTTGGTCAACGGCAACCCAGGCACTGAAGCAAAAAGAACATGGAGAATGACAAAAGCCCAGAGGGAGGAGTAAAAGGACACAAACACCATTCTCAGGGACCGGGACTGGGTGCCGTTCTCAGGGACCAGGACTGGGCACTAATCACAGAACTGTAACAGGCCCCCCATGGGAATGACCAACTCTTAGACGAGGCCTGCAGGGCAGCACTTCCCTCTTGCCTCCCACCAAAGCTTCTAAAGGGAAATGTCGACTGTTTTCACAGCAGTCCCCTCACTGCGGCTGAGTTTGTGGGCTCAGATGATAGCTCACAACAACCTGATTCAGTCCCCACTGTGGCTGAGAGTGGGGGGTCAGATGACAGGCCACCACAACCTGATTCAGTCCTCACTGTGGCTGTGTGTGGGGGGGCAGATGACAGGCCACCACAACCTGCTTCAGTCCTCACTGCTGCTGAGTGTGTGTGGGTGCAGATGACAAGCCACCACAACCTGATTCAGGATTCAGTTGGGCTACTAGCCAGTGCCATAAGGAAAACCATTCTGGGGCTCTTGAGAGGGGCAAAGCATAATTTGCATGTGGGAGAAACGTTAATAGTTTGTGGCCAGAAGACACGCTGTGGTTTATTAAAGACTGCTGCAGGTTCCTACTATGCTTCTCATCAAGAGGTGGAATCTAATCATCGTCCCCCCTTGAATCATGGCTTGTCTCAGTGATGAGTACGACTGGACAGTGTGGCAGGAGAGATGCTCTGGGACTTCTGAGGGGCAATCATGAGAGGCCTTACAGCTTCTGCCTGGGCCTCTTGGACACACACCCTGGGAGAAGCCAGACAAACCTGACTACCTGATGCTGCCAGACTGGGAGGAAGTCCGTGCTGGCCACAAAGAGAGGGCTGGGTGCCTGCTCCATGTCCCCAGCCACTAGAGTCCTTCCAGATGAGACCAGGGACATCATGAAGCAACCAACCAACACAGCCCTGTCCAGTGTCTTGACCCAGAAAATTGTGACATGTAAAAAGAATAAATTCCTGGTTTAAGCCAGTAAGGTTACGGGTACATTGTTATATCTCAGATAATTAAAACCTTGAAAAACTCATGAGAGATCACAAGTAGAACCTTGATCTGAAACATGGCATGTGGCGATTTATATTGAGTATTAGGTTAAAAATGCAAGAATGGAGCATAGTTAATATTTTACATTAAAGCTAAAACCATAATTGCCTACTTAAAATTTTCAGTTAATTAGGTTGTCACTTTTTGTTCTTAACCAAGTAATCAACTAGTTTTAGTCCATAAACAGTTAGAACTGATGCACACATCCGTTTTTCCTTACTCATTTTAAACAGCTATCTGAAATAGGAAGTGTAATATAATCTTTAAAGAATCTGAAAACATGACAGAAATGTTTAAACTATAAACATATATTGTATATGTTAGCATATTGTATACATTGCATATTAACATTAAGCTAGAATCATTGACATAAATTTATATAAACAAAAGGTATAAAATATGACAATGTTCTTCTTGTTTTTTGTCTTTGCATATTTCTTTATTGGCCCTTGTCAAATGTGACCCACTAACTCCTGAATGCTTTGTCTCTCCCCATGGATTCCTAAGGATGTCACCACAGTGTTGGCCAGATACACAGGTCACAGGGGACTGAACCTCATCACCCCACAAACATACCATTCAGGTTTTGCCAAGAATGACACTGTAAATGTAACAAAGCTTCTGTGCTTGTTAGTGAACACCAACTCAGCTCCTCTCCTGTATTCAGAAATCAGGATGAGATGAAAACAACAAGCAGGCCAGGCACGGTGGCTCATGCCTGTAATCCCAGCACTTTGGGAGGCCGAGGCGGGTGGATCACTTCAGGTTGGGAGCTCGAGACCACCCTGATCAAAACAGAGAAACCCCATCTCTACTGAAAATACAAAATTAGCCAGGCGTGGTGGCAAATGCCTGTAATACCAGCTACTCAGGAACTGAGGCAGGAGAATTGCTTGAACCCGGGAGGTGGAGGCTGCAGTGAGCCGGGATCACACCACTGCGCTCTAGCCTGGGCAACAAGAACGAAACTCTGTCTCAAAAGAAAAAAAATTAAAAATAAAAGAACAAGGAAACAAAAGTAACAAGGCTTGACACCAGATGAGCCTGAATCTAAGCAAGAAAAGCCCAGAAGAAATCCCATTTTGGGTCACTGGCTGCATGGTAGTAATACCATACACATAAGGGAAGAGAGGAGGATGTGGCTTTCACTTTGAATTTTTTGAGCTTAAGGTAACTTTTGCGTAGCTACAAAGAAGCATTCAACAGAGAGTTAAACCTATGATGGAAAGACTGAAGGGGTCCAAGCTGTAGAGAAACAGGACTGCAAACCACAAAGGGCAGAATCAGTCAAGGAGAGCTGCAGGGCGGGATGAACAGGGACCAATGGAACATTTGGACAAGCTGTTGAGAAGAAAGGAAAATTCAGAGAAAAAGAACTGTCAGTGAGGTCATAATAGGAACTGTTACAGTGAACTAAATATGGCCTGGGAAGGACTCTGTACTTCTAGATTTGAGTCCCTGTGGACAAACTGCAACCTAACTTAATAGGTAGAAAGACTGATAACCTAACTTTGGAGTATGCACCTGTAACTATAGCTGAGTCCTGGCCAATCCCAACAGCCAAACTTCTGCCACTCACACACTGCTGAGTGTTCAGCTGTGTTCAAATAAGGCAAATGCTGAGCACTGTAACCAGTCCAGTTGTTTCTGGACCTCACTGCTGAGAACGGTAAGGGACCCAGTTGCTTCTGGACCTCACTCCTCACTTCAGATTTCTGTACATCACGTTCCCTTTATTCTCTATAAATCTTCCACCATGTAGCTGTGCTGGAGTCTCACCAAATCTGCTGTGATTCTGGGGGCTGCCTGATTCGTGAATCATTCATTGCTCAATTAAGTTTCTTTAAATTTAATTCAGCTGAAGATTTTCTTTTAATAGATGGTGTCAGAAGTGGGATCTGTGGGAGCAGGACTGCTAGGGCCTCCGGAGCTATAGTGTGGTGAGCAGTGTTGCTAGGGCTTCTAATGACCCCCAGGAGTGCTGAGGTACAAGAAAGGCACCTGCAAGGACCGCTCTATGATGGCAACAGTGGCCCATGTGGAGCAGTTGCTACGGAGACACTGGCTGCAGTGGGGAGGAGTGGCTGGGGCTGTGCACTCCTCAAAGTTAGTGGGAGCCAGGAACGGGTGGGAGACCCAGCCCTTCTAAATTGGCAAGCAGGAGCCCCACCCTCCCAGGCACAGCTGCAGCCATCCACCCATGACAGCAAACCCAGGCATCTTTGCACTCTCAGAGGCCCAGCAAGCCCCCCTGCCCCTGCAGGTCCAGTCATACCTGCTCCTACCACCTGGCATCTCTCCGCTCCGAGAGCCCACTCCAACTTCGGATCCAAGTTGAGGTTGAACCCAGGCACAGTTGCAACCCAGCCCAGTTTGTGCAAGCTCAGGGCAGTGCTGACATGCCAGCCCCCTGCCACCTCGGCCCTCTCCACACTTTGGGAACTGATGAGCACAGGAGGGACATTGAAGTGAGGCTAAGAGTGGCTCAGCACTGGCCTGAAGGCACTCCTCTGCTCGAAAAGCCTGGGCACTGTGGGCATAGCTAACCACCATGCATCTCTCTCAGCTGCTGAGAGCTGAACAGACGTTGGGATGACCTGCCTGCAGAAAGGAGCTACCCACTGCACGTCTCCTCTGAGCTGTACTGTTGCTCAATAAAGCACCTCTTCACCTTGCTCACCTTCTACTTGCCCACATACCTCATTCTTCCTGGACTCAGGACAAGAACTTGGGACCTGCCAACTAGCAGGGCTGAAAGAGATGTAACATAAACAGGGCTGAAACGCACCCCTTGCTTGCCAAATTGCAGGCAAGAAGAAGAGAAGAGAGAAGGAGACAAGAGCTTTGGCCCTTCAGGGAGCCCAGACCTAGGAGCTCCCCAAGCCAGGGCTGTGACACCTTATTTGGGGCTCTGCAGTTCCTGCATCTCCAAGCTTCCAGGCACCACTGCATTCCCTGATACCCACAGTGGAAGCTGTTTGCAGTCAGTCTGGTCCAGCTGCAGCCTCACAGGGAGCTGGCACCTGTGCCGGTACCTGGAGCTGCCCACCCCACTGCAGCTGGCATGCTTGGCTGTGTGCAGTGGCCAGATCCCATGCTCACATGCTCACACCCCCTTCACTGCTCTGTACCCAGCTCACCCTTGGCAGGTGTGGGATCCAGACCACTAGCATGAGCCGAGTGGACAGAACGAACACAGTGGGCCCGAGCAAAACACAGGTAAAGGTGCCACCAGCCAGAGGTTTCAGGCAGAAAAGTGACGCCTCAGGATTCTGTAACACTTGTGCCCTTTGACCTCTCAGAGCATCTGGGGATCGTGGTAAATTCTCTCTCGGATTTCAGAGCTCCATGGATTTGTGTTTTGAGCTGAGTTTCTCTGAGCAAATTTCTGTTCCAAACTGCTATCCAGCCATGACTGGCTGGATGTTTTAGAAGTTATGACAGAAATGGGACCGGGTCCAGGATCAGATTTGATCCAGTAGTTAACTGGCTTGAATCCAGTTCCAGTTAGAGGCCTCCTACATCTGAATGGGTCAGAAGGAAAGTGGTAGTAAATGATAATATTGGAGGATTGTAAAATTTGGCTTTTGGAAATTCACGGGGATTTTTGTGTTCTGCCCCTTTGTTTCATTTTCCTCACATGTTTAGGTAGGAAAAAAAATCATTGGCTAAGTCAATCAAGGGAACCTGGGAGTAAAGCCAATATATTAGGTAAAAATAGGATCCTTAATTTCCGGAAAACTAAGTTCTTCCTGGCTAATTCATTAGGCCTGGGAAGCAGCAAAGTCTTACAGAAATGGCAAAATCTTACTAAAGATAACTTATAGTGGAACATTCCAAATGAATAATGCCCTGAAGTGCATTTAAAAATGAGGGCTCCCAAATTAGTCTCATCTAGGGATGCCTATTAACATGCAGAAGCTTCTAAAAAGATTTAGAGATGGCACAGCCTATCTGGGAGCAAGTTTGAGTCTTACCAGTTTGACACTGGGTGGTAAGCAAAGTGGCTCGTGTCTATGTTTTGTCACATATATTTTGCTCTGAGCAGAATGAAAAATGTTAATTTGGTTACTCCAAGCAACCCCTTGGGCAGCATCTTGCAAAGCTGAGTGGATTCTTCCTGTGGCTCCATGATTTCCATTGTGATGCAGCTTGGCCCCCAGAGCTATAATGTGGTGAGAAGGGTGACAGAGCAAGACGCTATCTTTAAAAAAAAAATGGCCTGCGGCAGTGGCTCATGGCTGTAATCCCAACACTTGGGGAGGCCGAGGCAGGTGGATCACATGAGGTCAGGAGTTCAAGGCCAGCCTGACCAACAAGGAAAAACCCGTCTGTACTAAAAACGCAAAATTAGCTGGACATGGTGGGGCATGCCTCTAATCCCAGCTACTCAGGAGGCTGGGGCGGGAGAATCGCTTGAACCTGGGAGGCAGGGGGTTGCAGTAAACTGAGATCGCACCATTGCATTCCAGCCTGGGCAACAAGAGGGAAAATCCATCTCAAAAAAGAAAAGAATAATAGATTTGCCTATAAGGTTTTATGAAAAAGTGGGTGACATTTGGCTTTCTCTCTTTAAAGAAGATTTTCAGAAAATATTAAAAAATAATGGGAGGAGGAGCCAAGATGGCCGAATAGGAACAGCTCCGGTCTACAGCTCCCAGCATGAGCGATGCAGAAGATGGGTGATTTCTGCATTTCCGTTTGAGGTACTGGGTTCATCTCACTAGGGAGTGCCAGACAGTGGGTGCAGGACAGTGGGTGAAGTGCACTGTGCACTAGCCGAAGCAGGGCGAGGCATTGCCTCACTCGGGAAGCGCAAGGGGTCAGGGAGTTAGTTCCCTTTCCTGGTCAAGGAAAGGGGTGACAGATGGCACCTGGAAAATCGGGCAACTGCCACCCTAATACTGAGCTTTTCTGACGGGCTTAGGAAACGGCGCACCATGAGATTATATCCGGCACCTGGCTCGGAGGGTCCTAGGCCCACGGAGTCTCGCTGATTGCTAACACAGCAGTCTGAGATCAAACTGCAAGGCAGCAGCGAGGCTGGGGGAGGGGAACCGGCCATTGCCCAGGCTCTCTTAGGTAAACAAAGCAGCCTGGAAGCTCGAACTGGGTGGAGCCCACCACAGCTCAAGGAGGCCTGCCTGCCTCTGTAGGCTCCACCTCTGGGGGCAGGACACAGACAAACAAAAATACAGCAGTAACCTCTGCAGACTTAAATGTCCCTCTCTGACAGCTTTGAGGAGAGCAGTGGTTCTCCCAGCATGCAGCTGGAGATCTGAGAATGGGCAGACTGCCTCCTGAAGTGGGTCCCTGACCCCTGACCCCCGAGCAGCCTAACTGGGAGGCGCCCCCTAGCAGGGGCAGACTGACACCTCACACGACCAGGTACTCCTCTGAGACAAAATTTCCAGAGGAACGATCAGACAGCAGCATTCGCGGATCACGAAAATCCATGGTTTTGCAGACACCACTGCTGATACCCAGGCAAACAGGGTCGGGAATGGGCCTCTAGAAAACTCCAACAGACCTGAAGCTGAGGGTACTGTCTGTTAGAAGGAAAACTAACAAACAGAAAGGACATCCACACCAAAAACCCATGTGTACATCACCATCATCAAAGACCAAACGTAGATAAAACCACAAAGATGGGGAAAAAACAGAACAGAAAAACTGGAAACTCTAAAAAGCAGAGCGCCTCTCCTCCTCCAAAGGAATGCAGTTCCTCAACAGCAACGGAACAAAGCTGGATGGAGAATGACTTTGACGAGCTGAGAGAAGAAGGCTTCAGACGATCAAATTACTCTGAGCTACGGGAGGACATTCAAACCAAAGGCAAAGTTGAAAACTTTGAAAAAAATTTAGAAGAATGTTTAACTAGAATAACCAATAGAGAGAAGTTCTTAAAGGAGCTGATGGAGCTGAAAACGAAGGCTCGAGAACTACGTGAAGAATGCAGAAGCCTCAGGAGCTGATGCGATCAACTGGAAGAAAGGGTATCAGCAATGGAAGATGAAATGAATGAAATGAAGTGAGAAGGGAAGTTTAGAGAAAAAAGAATAAAAATAAATGAGCAAAGCCTCCAAGAAATATGGGACTATGTGAAAAGACCAAATCTACATCTGATTGGTGTACCTGAAAGTGATAGGGAGAATGGAACCAAGTTGGAAAACACTGCTGGATATTATCCAGGAGAACTTCCCCAATCTAGCAAGGCAGGCCAACATTCAGATTCAGAAAATACAGAGAATGACACAAAGATACTCCTCGAGAAGAGCAACTCCAAGACACATAATTGTCAGATTCACCAAAGTTGAAATGAAGGGAAAAATGTAGAGAGCAGCCAGAAAGGTCGGGTTACCCTCAAAGGGAAGCCCATCAGACTAACAGCGGATCTCTCGGCAGAAACCCTACAAGCCAGAAGAGAGTGGGGGCCAATATTCAACATTCTTAAAGAAAAGAATTTTCAACCCAGAATTTCATATCCAGCCAAACTAAGCTTCATAAGTGAAGGAGAAATAAAATACTTTACAGACAAGCAAATGCTGAGAGATTTTGTCACCACCAGGCCTGCCTTACAAGAGCTCCTGAAGGAAGCACTAAACATGGAAAGGAACAACCGATACCAGCCGCTGCAAAATCATGCCAAAATGTAAACACCGTCGAGACTAGGAAGAAACTGCATTAACTAACTAGCAAAATAACCAGCTAACATCATAATGACAGGATCAAATTCACACATAACAATATTATCTTTAAATGTAAATGGTCTAAATGTTCCAATTAAAAGACACAGACTGGCAAATTGGATAAAGAGTCAAGAACCATCAGTGTGCTGTATTCAGGAAACTCATCTCACGTGCAGAGACACACATAGGTTCAAAATAAAAGGATGGAGGAAGATCTACCAAGCAAATGGAAAACAAAAAAAGGCAGGGGTTGTAATCCTAGTCTCTGATAAAACAGACTTTAAACCAACAAAGATCAAAAGAGACAAAGAAGGCCATTACATAATGGTAAAGGGATCAATTCAACAAGAAGAGCTAACTATCCTAAATATATATGCGCCCAACACAGGAGCACCCAGATTCATAAAGCAAGTCCTGAGTGACCTACAAAGAGACTTAGACTCCCATGCATTAATAATGGGAGACTTTAACACTCCACTGTCAACATTAGACAGATCAACAAGACAGGAAGTCAACAAGCATACCCAGGAATTGAACTCAGCTCTGCACCAAGAGGACCTAACAGACATCTCCAGAACTCTCCACCCCAAATCAACAGAATATACATGTTTTCAGCACCACATCACACCTATTCCAAAATTGACCACATACTTGGAAGTAAAGTTCTCCTCAGCAAAAGTAAAAGAACAGAAATTATAAGAAACTATCTCTCAGACCATAGTGCAATCAAACTAGAACTCAGGATTAAGAATCTCACCCAAAACTGCTCAACTACATGGAAACTGAACAACCTGCTCCTGAATGACTACTGGGTACATAAGGAAATGAAGGCAGAAATAAAGATGTTCTTTCAAACCAACGAGAACAAAGACACAACATACCAGAATCTCTGGGACACATTCAAAGCACTGTGTAGAGGGAAATTTATAACACTAAATGCTCACAAGGGAAAACAGGAAAGATCCAAAATTGACACCCTAACATCACAATTGAAAGAACTAGAAAAGCAAGAGCAAACACATTCAAAAGCTAGCAGAAGGCAAGAAATAACTAAAATCAGAGCAGAACTGAAGGAAATAGAGATACAAAATCCCTTCAAAAAATTAATGAATCCAGGAGCTGGTTTTTTGAAAGGATCAGAAAAATTGATAGACCTCTAGCAAGACTAATAAAGAAAAAAAGAGAGAAGAATCAAATAGACGCAATAAAAATGATAAAGGGGATATCACCACCAATCCCAGAGAAATACTAACTACCATCAGAGAATACTACAAACACCTCTACGTAAATAAACTAGAAAATCTAGAAGAAATGGATAAATTCCTCGACACATACACTCTCCCAAGACTAAACCAGGAAGATGTTGAATCTCTGAATAGACCAATAACAGAAGCCGAAATTGTGGCAATAATCAATAGCTTACCAACCAAAAAGAGTCCAGGACCAGATGGATTCACAGCCGAATTCTACCAGAGGTACAAGGAGGAACTGGTACCATTCCTTCTGAAACTATTCCAATCAACAGAAAAAGAGGGAATCCTCCCTAACTCATTTTATGAGGCCAGCATCATTCTGACACCAAAGCCAGGCAGAGACACAACCAAAAAAGGAATTTTAGACCAATATACTTCATGAACATTGATGCAAAAATCCTCAATAAAATACTGGCAAAACGAATCCAGCAACACATCAAAAAGCTTATGCACCATGATCAAGTGGGCTTCATCCCTGGGATGTAAGGCTGGTTCAATATACACACATCAATAAATGTAATCCAGCATATAAACAGAGCCAAAGACAAAAACCACATGATTATCTCAATAGATGCAGAAAAGGCCTTTGACAAAATTCAACAATGCTTCATGCTAAAAACTCTCAATAAATTAGGTATTGATGGGACGTATTTCAAAATAATAAGAGCTATCTATGACAAACCCACAGCCAATATCATACTGAATGGGCAAAAACTGGAAGCATTCCCTTTGAAAACTGGCACAAGACAGGGATGGCCTCTCTCACCACTCCTATTCAACATAGTGTTGGAAGTTCTGGCAGGGGCAATTAGGCAGGAGAAGGAAATAAAGGGTATTCAATTAGGAAAAGAGGAAGTCAAATTGTCCCTGTTTGCAGATGACATGATTGTATATCTAGAAAACCCCATTGTCTCAGCCCAAAATCTCCTTAAGCTGATAAGCAACTTCAGCAATGTCTCAGGATACAAAATCAATGTACAAAAATCACAAGCATTCTTATACACCAACAACAGACAAACAGAGAGCCAAATCATGAGTGAACTCCCATTCACAATTGCTTCAAAGAGAATAAAATACCTAGGAATCCAACTTACAAGGGATGTGAAGGACCTCTTCAAGGAGAACTACAAACCACTGCTCAAGGAAATAAAAAAGGATAAAAACAAATGGAAGAACATTCCATGCTCATGGGTAGGAAGAATCAATATCTTGAAAATGGCCATACTGCCCAAAGTAATGTACAGATTCCATGCCATCCCCATCAAGCTACCAATGACTTTCTTCACACAATTGGAAAAAACTACTTTAAAGTTCATATGGAACTAAAAAAGAGCCTGCATAGCCAAGTCAATCCTAAGCCAAAAGGACAAAGCTGGAGGCATCACACTACCTGACTTCAAAGTATGCTACAAGGCTACAGTAACCAAAACAGCATGGTACTGGTACCAAAACAGAGATATAGATCAATGGAACAGAACAGAGCCCTCAGAAATAACGCCGCATATCTACAACTATCTGATCTTTGACAAACCTGAGAAAAACAAGCAATGGGGAAAGGATTCCCTATTTAATAAATGGTGCTGGGAAAACTGGCTAGCCATATGTAGAAAGCTGAAACTGGATCCCTTCCTTACACCTTATACAAAAATCAATTCAAGATGGATTAAAGATTTAAACGTTAGACCTAAAACCATAAAAACCCTAGAAGAAAACCTAGGCATTACCATTCAGGACATAGGCATGGGCAAGGACTTCATGTCTAAAACACCAAAAGCAATGGCATCAAATGCCAAAATTGACAAATGGGATCTAATTAAACTAAAGAGCTTCTGCACAGCAAAAGAAATTACCATCAGAGTGAACAGGCAACCTAAAAAACGGCAGAAAATTTTCGCAACCTACTCATGTGACAAAGGGCTAATATCCAGAATCTACAATGAACTCAAACAAATTTACAAGAAAAAAACAACCCCATCAAAAAGTGGGTGAAGGACATGAACAGACACTTCTCAAAAGAAGACATTTATGCAGCCAAAAAACACATGAAAAATTGCTCATCATCACTGGCCATCAGAGAAATGCAAATCAAAACCGCAATGAGATACCATCTCACACCAGTTAGAATGGCAATCATTAAAAAGTCAGAAAACAACAGGTGCTGGAGAGGACGTGGAGAAATAGGAACAGTTTTACACTGTTGGTGGGACTGTAAACTAGTTCAATCATTGTGGAAGTCAGTGTGGCGATTCCTCAGGGATCTAGAACTGGAAATGCCATTTGACCCAGCCATCCCATTACTGGGTATATACCCAATGGACTATAAATCATGCTGCTATAAAGACACATGCACACGTATGTTTATTGTGGCATTATTCACAATAGCAAAGACTTGGAACCAACCCAAATGTCCAACAATGATAGACTGGATTAAGAAAATGTGGCACATATACACCATGGAATACTATGCAGCCATAAAAAATGATGAGTTCATGTCCTTTGTAGGGACATGGATGAAATTGGAAATCATCCTTCTCAGTAAACTATCACAAGAACGTAAAACCAAACACCGCATATTCTCACTCATAGGTGGGAATTGAACAATGAGATCACATGGACACAGGAAGGGTAATATCACACTCTGGGGACTGTTGTGGTGTGGAAGGAGGGGGGAGGGATAGCATTGGGAGATATACCTAATGCTAGATGACGAGTTAGTGGGTGCAGCGCACCAGCATGGCACATGTATACATATGTAACTAACCTGCACAATGTGCACATGTACCCTAAAACTAAAAGTATAATAAAAAATAAAAATAAAAAATAAAAATTTTTTAAGTCATGATTTTAGGTAAATGAATGACTTACGGTGATGTGGAATTCTATTTCATAACATCAAGTGTTTAAACCTTTAATATATTTAATAGGCTTCCCAAAATCAAATTTCAACTTCAAAATTGTCTTTTCTGACCTCTAACTTTGGGATACTACAGAGACCCCTGAAGCACCCAAAAGAGAGGTAAACAGGACTATTTAACATGTTAAGTCACATGGGTCGCACTGTCAAAACAAAAAATAATGTGGAACCTTCCTCAGGTTATATTTAGTGTATGTCATCAATCCATTCTAAAATTGTATAGGATTTCTAAAATTCTTGTATTTTTTTTTTCTGAGATGGAGTCTTGCTCTGTCACCCAGGCTGGAGTACAGTGGTGCAATCTCGGCTCACTGCAACTTCCGCCTCCCGGGTTCATGCCATTCTCCTGCCTCAACCTCCCGAGTAGCTGGAACTACAGGCACCCACCACCATGCCAGGCTAATTTTTGTATTTTTAGTAAAGATGGATTTCACCATGTTAGCCAGGATGGTCACGATCTCCTGACCTCATGATCCTTCCATCTCAGCCTCCCAAAGTGCTGGGATTACAGGCATGAGCCACCACATCCACCCTAATTATGGTTATTAAGTTATTGTAGACCACAGAAATAACCAAATTTCCTTGTCAATTGTCTTTAACTATAACTAAAGTCATTTCACAGTTAATTGCTTAATGGTGATGCAGTTTCTAAAAACTTCACAAGCATGCAAAATTCTAGAATATGGTGTCTCTTAGAAGATTCATGAAAGAATGAAAAGGACCCTGAAAAACACTCGTGAACACAGATTTCTAATAACTTTAATATCATGGGTAAAAATTCCCCATAAGTTCCCCGATACCCCAAGAATTAGACTGGCTAAGAATTCTCAACAGTTAGGCTGGGTGCAGTGGCTCATGTCGGCAATCCCAGCACTTTAGGAGGCCAAGGCTGGCGGATCACTTGAGGTCAGGAGTTTGAGACCAGCCTGGCCAAAGGTGAAACGCCACCTCTACTAAAAATACAAAAATTAGCTGGGTGTGGTGGTATGTGCCTGTAATCCCAGCTACTCGGGAGGCTGAGGCAAGAGAATTGCTTGAACCCAGGAGGCGGAGGTTGCAGTGAGCCAAGATTGTGCCACTGCACTCCAACCTAGGTAACAGAGTGAGACTCTGTCTCAAAAAAAAAAAAATATCAAAAATTTAATAAAAAGTCCAACTGGTTTGTAAAACTGCTAACCCAAGTAAAACAAAAATTGTATACCAAGGAAATATTTTGTCACATTTGCATGCTAAATCACCAATATTGAAATTGTTTAGATATATAATTTAAATAAATTCCATGGTCTAAATCAAATTACCTATAACTACTCATCAGTTACCAGTGCCTTGCACCTAATTTGGAGAAACAGCTGGTATTCAAGAGGATGTAAGTCTGATGTTAATTAAGCACAGACCTATGAAGAACCAGGATGGCCACCTTATCCTTCTTAAGTCCTAAAATCTTTTGTTATTAAAAGTTCTGCATTCCATAACTCATCACGGAAAGAGAAAATGATCCAAATTAAATATATTGGTGTGGTGATTTCTAAACTGCTAAAATAGTTTATAACCAATGTTTGGTTTGTGAAACCTATATTCCTAGGAAAACAATCAAAACTTCAGGTACATTTGGTTATCTGATGGGCCATTTAAACATTTTATAAAGGGATTTCATTCAGTTTTCATTTTCAGTGCATGTTTTCTGATTGTATAAAAGCTCTTCCATGTGAGAGAGTTGATGTTAAAAGAGTAGATTATTACCCTGAAGTGTATTTTCACCAGGTAAAGAAAGCCTTTTATGGTTCACTGAGGACAGTCAAACCCTTCAAAATCTAGAATCTGATGACTGGATCTTCTGAGAATATCAGAGAAGGACTGCCCTCGCCATCCACATGACAGCAAAACTTTAAAACCTTAAACTTTGGGTTCATAGTCTCACAACTCAGAAGGGTCCCTCCACACTCGGAACCACATGCCCATTGGAACCCTTAAGGTAAAGCTAACAAGGACAGTTCCCCCCAGAAGAAGATGACATCCTTAATGTTAACAGCTTTTCCCAAGATCACAGATCAAGACTTCTCTACTATCATGAGACTCTTATCTTAAGTATCTGTGCAGCTGCTAACACTTACAGCATGTGGAGAAAACATGGGGTATTATAAAGATTTGGTTGTAGGGAATTAACAAAAAAACCACTTAGTTAAGCAAGTAAACTCTTTATCTAATTCATTCTTTAATCTATTTGATTTTAGGTGGTTTGATTTATGGGGACCCTGAGTAAGGAGCATATACCAAATTCTTGGTGTTATCCCAATAGTCATAAGAGTCTCCCTGGTGCACTGTACTTACTCAAATGTTTTAAAAGTTTGCATGCAGCCATCTCTAAAATGTCAAATGGTATCTCTTCAACTGGAATGACAAGAGATTAAAAAAAAAATGTGCAACCATAAGGACACCGTAACCTATGAGTGACATGCTAAACCAGAAACCCAAGACAATGGGAGTGACATGCTAAACCAGAAACCCAAAACAATGGGAGTGACCTGCGAAACCAGAAACCCAAACAATGGGAGTGAGGTGCTAAAACCGGAACCCAAAACAACGGGAGTGATGTGCTTAAACCGGAACTGAAAACAATGGGAGTGACCTGCTAAACCAGAAACCTAAAACAATGGGAGTGACTTGCTAAAACTGGAACCCAAAACAATGGGAGTGACGTGCTGAAACCGGAAACGAAAACAATGGTAGTGATGTGCTTAAACCGGAACCCAAAACAGTGGGAGTGACCTGCTAAACCAGAAATCCAAAACAATGGGAGTGATGTGCTAAAACCAGAACCCAAAACAATGGGAGTGACGTGCTAAAACCGGAAACGAAAACAATGGTAGTGATGTGCTTAAACCGGAACCCAAAACAGTGGGAGTGACCTGCTAAACCAGAAATCCAAAACAATGGGAGTGATGTGCTAAAACCAGAACCCAAAACAATGGGAGTGACCTGCTAAAACCAGAACCCAAAACAATGGGAGTGACCTGCTAAACCAGAAACCTAAAACAATGGGAGTGACTTGCTAAAACTGGAACCCAAAACAATGGGAGTGACGTGCTAAAACCGGAAATGAAAACAATGGGAATGATGTGCTTAAACCGGAACCCAAAACAGTGGGAGTGACCTGCTAAACCAGAAATCCAAAACAATGGGAGTGACGTGCTAAAACCGGAACCCAAAACAATGGGAGTGACATGCTAAAACCGGAACCCAAAACAATGGGAGTGATGTGCTTAAACTGGAACCCAAAACAATGGTAGTGACCTGCTAAACCAGAAACCCAAAACAATGGGAGTGATGTGTAAAACCAGAACCCCAAAACAATGGGAGCGTCCTGCTAAACCAGAAACCCAAAACAATGAGAGTGAAGTACTAAAACCAGAAACCCAAAACAATGGGAGTGACATGATAAAACAGAAACCCAAAACAATGGGAGTGACGTGCTAAAACCTGGGAACCCAAAACAATGGGAGTGAGGTGCTAAAATCAGATACCCAAAACAATGGGAGTGTCATGCTAAAACCAGATACCCAAAACAATGGGAGTGAAGTGCTAAAACCGGAACCCAAAACAATGGGAGTGACGTGCTAAACCAGAACCCAAAACAATGGGAGTGACGTGCTAAACTGGAACCCAAAACAATGGGAGTGACGTGCTAAAACCGGAACCCAAAACAATGGGAGTGAAGTGCTAAACCAGAAACCCAAAACAATGGGAATGACATGCTAAAACTGGAACCCAAAACAATGGTAACTAAGAGTGATGCTAAGGCCCTACATTTTGGTCACACTCTCAACTAAGTGAGAACTTGACTGAAAAGGAGGATTTTTTTTTTCTGAGACAGAGTTTTGGTCTGTCCCCCAGAGTGGAGTGCAGTGGCATGATCTCGGCTCACTGCAAGCTCTGCCTCCCGGATTCAGGCCATTCTCCTGCCTCAGCCTCCTGAGTAGCTGGGACTACAGGCACCCTCCACCACACTTGGCTAATTTTTTGTATTTTTAGTAGAGATGGGGTTTCACCGTATTAGCAAGGATGGTCTCAATCTCCTGACCTCGTGATCTGCCCACCTCAGCCTCCCAAAGTGCTGGGATTACAGGTGTGAGCCACCACACCCAGCAAAAAGGAGGAATGTTTTAAGCAAAATTATGGGAGGCCATTGTTTTGAACTAAGCTCATGCAATAGGTCCCAACAGACCAAACCAAACCAAGCCAAAATGGAGTCACTCATGCTAAATGTAACATAATCAAACTAAGACTTTAGGGAAACACATAAATCCTAGAACAAACCAGGTTTTGTTTTTCTCCTGTAAACAGGATGTTCCAGCATAAGAAGATACCTTCTACTCAAGTCCTTGTTCCACCTTTTCAAATCTCACTGGTCTATTTCCCAGTGGGTTTCTAAACCAAGTAAGTACATTTGCAATGGTAATAGTGACACCAGTGACTGAAGTTTTGGCCAATCTCTCAAAATTGAGAAAATAACCAAAGGGAAGGCATTGTTAAAGTGAACTAAGTATGGCCTGAGAAGGACTCTATAATTCTATATATGAGTCCTTGTGGATGAACTGCAACCTACCTTAATAGGTATACAAGAATGAAAAACTAACTTAAGAGTATGCACTGGAACAACAGCTACATCTTGGCCAATCCCAATGGCCAAACTTCAACCACTCAGGCACTGCCAAATGTTCAAAATGTGTTCAAACAAGGCAAATGCTGAGTTGTTTCTGTACCCCACTTCCGATTTCGGTATGCCACTTCCCTTTTGTCTATAAATCTTCTTCCACCACATGACTGCACTGGAGTCTCTGTGAATCTGCTGTGATTCTGGGGACTGTCCGATTCATGAATCGTTTATTGCTAAATTAAACTCCTTTAAAGTTTTTCTTTTAACAGAACTAACACAGAAGAATTTCCAGATCATGAACAGACGTTTTGTAATACCCAACCTTGTATTAACATGAATAGACTCTTCCTTAGACAGCTAACCTTGTTTTTAATATGAATAGACTCTCCCTTAGCTGAGAAAACCAGACAAACTCCATTTGGCTCCTTCATTAACAAGACATCAAGGGCTCCTTACCCACCCCCTTTCCTCAAGGACTTTAACTTGTGCAAGCTGATTTTCAACATATCAAAGCGTGCAATTAACTGATAAAGTGCTGAGACAAGAGATGTCCCCCGTTCCCAGCAATTTACTCAGAGATAGTATCATAAAGCCCCCACATTTGTCCGGCAGATAATGCCCAGAGCCCCCTCACCTATCACTTTGTGGTGAATTTAAAGCCCCTACACCAGGAACAGTTTGTTTTCCTGTAACCATCTGTCTTTCTAAGTTTTTTGTCTGTTTTTTTTCTTCTGTAAAGTTGCTGCAGCTAGAATCCCCCCTCCCCTCTCTAAACCAAAGTATAAAAGAAAATCTTGTCCCTTCTTTGGGGCCGAGATAATTTCGTGCGTTAGCCATGTCTCAGTCGCTGGCTAGTAAAGGACTCCTGAATTCGTCTCAATGCGTGGCATTTCTCTCTAACTCACTCGGGTAGGACAGTTTCAACTATGGTAGAAGACTCGAGTAAGGCAAATACAGTCCCCCTAAATTTGACAATTATTCAGGTTAATGGTGAGTTTAGAAGAAATAAGGCTACACAGAGTGGGCTAAAGTGCAAATAAACACTGGAAATATTTCCCAGAAAATATGACTTTGAACAGGCTGCTGCACATCCTGCATGTAGAGACAAACTAAGAAAAAGTGTGGAGAGTTATTTAAGGACCTTTGGTTAACTCAGTCCTCAAGATGTTCCGGGTTTCATCCATGAATCAAGCAGGACCTCCCAAAGGCTGTTTGGGACCACACTCTTTGAGCAAGGAGCATACATTACGATGGAAGCTGTGCTTTAGCGGCAGATGACCATTTCCACTGCACAACACGCCGTGCTTTAGCGGAAGATGACCGTTTCCACTGCACAACACTACAAGTGTTTACTGCCAGGCCGGTGTGAAATATGTTCCAGCACATAATCTATGTCACCAATGAAGGTGGTGGTTCAGACTTGGTGCACGCAAGCTTTCCTGTCCCACAAGAACAAAGCATGCTCTCTTCTCGGGTTCCATTCTAATCACGTAACAAACATGACTGCCTTTTTTGTCTCGGCATCAGAAAGATCAGAGGAAAATTTGCACTCAACTTAGACAACTCTAAGCTCTTATAACCTGCCTATATTTACAGGTCAGCTTTATCTTATTTATGTATATTTCCTTCAACCTGAGTTTTACTTATTTCTACTTTTCCTTTTTAATTCACAGACACCCATAAACTCAGAAAATACAGTGTAAAACAAAGTGAAGAACAAATAAACAACTCACCAGAGATTTATTCGTTTCTTGTTGCTCTTGGAAACACCCAGAGGACACTGGAAACATAGCTGGGATAGAAGGCAAATGACGTGGATTAAGGAGAGAACTGGTGTGGTTTGGTCCCAGATTCTTCTGCCCAACACTCTAGACACATTACCTGGGAAAGCCCTCCTCCCTCCTGAAAAAGAAAAACTTCCCCAGGGGAGAAGAATCCTTCACGCCTCATTAGGGGCAGCAAAGACTCAAGTTAAGATAAGATACATCTACAAGTACATTAATTGGTAGACATTAGATGCACAATTTATTTTTGAATAAAAATATATATTACCTACTAATTTAGTAACAATATTATCTAAAGATATAATCTAATAATTTAATACAAAGAAACATTATAAGTTCACTAAAATAAATGTTATAGAAATATACTGGGCTATATTAGCTATTTTCCTATTAATATGTAGATTCCACAAACAACTTCATAAGAGTGTTCCCATGACAGTACATCTTGCTTTTCTATACCTGAACATCATGGAAAGTGCTTCTTGCAAACCAGCAATTTTGGCCTACAATTATGTTTTTAAAAATGTACATAATATGTATTTCCTGCAGTACACCATTCTACTCATGTTTCCCAATAACACCTTTCCTTCTATCCAAGCCCTCATATTATGCTCTGACAATAAATTGGGCTTTTCCATCTGACTTGTCCAGTGAATGGACAATGGAAAATGTGATGCAAATATCCATTGGTTCTTCCCTTTTTGGGGGAAATTGTGAAGAGGTCTGGAGCTACCCTGTTGGAGACACAGGGCCTAGCCAAGAGTCACCACAAACCACCAGATTGTGAAGGAAACTATCTTAAACCAACCAGGCTCAGTCAAGGCACCAGGTGACTAAGGCCTTTTTATGATCCAGGCAACACACATATATCAACTACCCAGCTGAATCCACCACACCAAAATGCAGATCCGTAGAACTTCAAACCAATAAAATGGTGGTTGTTTTTTATAAGCCAGTAAGGTTTAATTAGTTCCTTAAACAGCAAGTATTAACTGTTACACCTAAGTGAACAGAATTCACTTCTGTGTTTTTAACAAAATTACGTAGGGGGAGAAAATCTTAAATTACAAATCAAATACAATCAATAGAACTTCGCAATCTAATGCTAAATTTGGGGATGGACTAGGTTTAATATATCTCAGACGCTGGAAAAAACGAGCTAAGGTTGAAGGAATGGGACTGTGTTTGGAGAGTATTTTAATCCTCTCAAGTATGACAGGTCACTGCTGTACCCCAGACCACACTTTCAGGCCCCTTCAAATAAGGAATATTTCCTAAGTCCTTGCCTGTTCTTCTCAGCTGAATTC